>NC_000010.11:133740466-133787422 GCF_000001405.40 Homo sapiens
GATCTGACTAGTTTGGCATTGCTTTTGGGGATCTGGGAAAATCTGTGCACACTTCTGGAGACCCTTGTCAGGCCATTTTTTATAAATCTATTGTGCCTCAAGTCAGCAGTGTGTGAGGGGAGATGGGGAGACATTGGGATGCGCGCGCCTGGGGCTCTCCCACAGGGGGCTTTCGTGAGCCAGGCAGCGAGGGCCGCCCCCGCGCTGCAGCCCAGCCAGGCCGCGCCGGCAGAGGGGATCTCCCAACCTGCCCCGGCGCGCGGGGATTTCGCCTACGCCGCCCCGGCTCCTCCGGACGGGGCGCTCTCCCACCCTCAGGCTCCTCGGTGGCCTCCGCACCCGGGCAAAAGCCGGGAGGACCGGGACCCGCAGCGCGACGGCCTGCCGGGCCCCTGCGCGGTGGCACAGCCTGGGCCCGCTCAAGCGGGGCCGCAGGGCCAAGGGGTGCTTGCGCCACCCACGTCCCAGGGGAGTCCGTGGTGGGGCTGGGGCCGGGGTCCCCAGGTCGCCGGGGCGGCGTGGGAACCCCAAGCCGGGGCAGCTCCACCTCCCCAGCCCGCGCCCCCGGACGCCTCCGCGCGGCAGGGGCAGATGCAAGGCATCCCGGCGCCCTCCCAGGCGCTCCAGGAGCCGGCGCCCTGGTCTGCACTCCCCTGCGGCCTGCTGCTGGATGAGCTCCTGGCGAGCCCGGAGTTTCTGCAGCAGGCGCAACCTCTCCTAGAAACGGAGGCCCCGGGGGAGCTGGAGGCCTCGGAAGAGGCCGCCTCGCTGGAAGCACCCCTCAGCGAGGAAGAATACCGGGCTCTGCTGGAGGAGCTTTAGGACGCGGGGTTGGGACGGGGTCGGGTGGTTCGGGGCAGGGCGGTGGCCTCTCTTTCGCGGGGAACGCCTGGCTGGCTACGGAGGGGCGTGTCTCCGCCCCGCCCCCTCCACCGGGCTGACCGGCCTGGGATTCCTGCCTTCTAGGCCTAGGCCCGGTGAGAGACTCCACACAGCGGAGAACTGCCATTCTTTCCTGGGCATCCCGGGGATCCCAGAGCCGGCCCAGGTACCAGCAGGTGGGCCGCCTACTGCGCACGCGCGGGTTTGCGGGCAGCCGCCTGGGCTGTGGGAGCAGCCCGGGCAGAGCTCTCCTGCCTCTCCACCAGCCCACCCCGCCGCCTGACCGCCCCCTCCCCACCCCCACCCCCCGCCCCCGGAAAACGCGTCGTCCCCTGGGCTGGGTGGAGACCCCCGTCCCGCGAAACACCGGGCCCCGCGCAGCGTCCGGGCCTGACACCGCTCCGGCGGCTCGCCTCCTCTGCGCCCCCGCGCCACCGTCGCCCGCCCGCCCGGGCCCCTGCAGCCGCCCAGGTGCCAGCACGGAGCGCCTGGCGGCGGAACGCAGACCCCAGGCCCGGCGCACACCGGGGACGCTGAGCGTTCCAGGCGGGAGGGAAGGCGGGCAGAGATGGAGAGAGGAACGGGAGACCTAGAGGGGCGGAAGGATGGGCGGAGGGACGTTAGGAGGGAGGGAGGGAGGCAGGGAGGCAGGGAGGCAGGGAGGAACGGAGGGAAAGACAGAGCGACGCAGGGACTGGGGGCGGGCGGGAGGGAGCCGGGGACGGGGGGAGGAAGGCAGGGAGGAAAAGCGGTCTTCGGCCTCCGGGAGTAGCGGGACCCCCGCCCTCCGGGAAAACGGTCAGCGTCCGGCGCGGGCTGAGGGCTGGGCCCACAGCCGCCGCGCCGGCCGGCGGGGCACCACCCATTCGCCCCGGTTCCGGGGCCCAGGGAGTGGGCGGTTTCCTCCGGGACAAAAGACCGGGACTCGGGTTGCCGTCGGGTTTTCACCCGCGCGGTTCACAGACCGCACATCCCCAGGCTGAGCCCTGCAACGCGGCGCGAGGCCGACAGCCCCGGCCACGGAGGAGCCACACGCAGGACGACGGAGGCGTGATTTTGGTTTCCGCGTGGCTTTGCCCTCTGCAAGGCGGCCTGTTGCTCACGTCTCTCCGGCCCCCGAAAGGCTGGCCATGCCGACTGTTTGCTCCCGGAGCTCTGCGGGCACCCGGAAACATGCAGGGGAGGGTGCAAGCCCGGCACGGTGCCTTCGCTCTCCTTGCCAGGTTCCAAACCGGCCACACTGCAGACTCCCCACGTTGCCGCACGCGGGAATCCATCGTCAGGCCATCACGCCGGGGAGGCATCTCCTCTCTGGGGTCTCGCTCTGGTCTTCTACGTGGAAATGAACGAGAGCCACACGCCTGCGTGTGCGAGACCGTCCCGGCAACGGCGACGCCCACAGGCATTGCCTCCTTCACGGAGAGAGGGCCTGGCACACTCAAGACTCCCACGGAGGTTCAGTTCCACACTCCCCTCCACCCTCCCAGGCTGGTTTCTCCCTGCTGCCGACGCGTGGGAGCCCAGAGAGCGGCTTCCCGTTCCCGCGGGATCCCTGGAGAGGTCCGGAGAGCCGGCCCCCGAAACGCGCCCCCCTCCCCCCTCCCCCCTCTCCCCCTTCCTCTTCGTCTCTCCGGCCCCACCACCACCACCGCCACCACGCCCTCCCCCACCACCCCCCCCACCCCACACCACCACCACCACCACCACCACCACCACCCCGCCGGCCGGCCCCAGGCCTCGACGCCCTGGGTCCCTTCCGGGGTGGGGCGGGCTGTCCCAGGGGGGCTCACCGCCATTCATGAAGGGGTGGAGCCTGCCTGCCCGTGGGCCTTTACAAGGGCGGCTGGCTGGCTGGCTGGCTGTCCGGGCAGGCCTCCTGGCTGCACCTGCCGCAGTGCACAGTCCGGCTGAGGTGCACGGGAGCCCGCCGGCCTCTCTCTGCCCGCGTCCGTCCGTGAAATTGCGGCCGGGGCTCACCGCGATGGCCCTCCCGACACCTTCGGACAGCACCCTCCCCGCGGAAGCCCGGGGACGAGGACGGCGACGGAGACTCGTTTGGACCCCGAGCCAAAGCGAGGCCCTGCGAGCCTGCTTTGAGCGGAACCCGTACCCGGGCATCGCCACCAGAGAACGGCTGGCCCAGGCCATCGGCATTCCGGAGCCCAGGGTCCAGATTTGGTTTCAGAATGAGAGGTCACGCCAGCTGAGGCAGCACCGGCGGGAATCTCGGCCCTGGCCCGGGAGACGCGGCCCGCCAGAAGGCCGGCGAAAGCGGACCGCCGTCACCGGATCCCAGACCGCCCTGCTCCTCCGAGCCTTTGAGAAGGATCGCTTTCCAGGCATCGCCGCCCGGGAGGAGCTGGCCAGAGAGACGGGCCTCCCGGAGTCCAGGATTCAGATCTGGTTTCAGAATCGAAGGGCCAGGCACCCGGGACAGGGTGGCAGGGCGCCCGCGCAGGCAGGCGGCCTGTGCAGCGCGGCCCCCGGCGGGGGTCACCCTGCTCCCTCGTGGGTCGCCTTCGCCCACACCGGCGCGTGGGGAACGGGGCTTCCCGCACCCCACGTGCCCTGCGCGCCTGGGGCTCTCCCACAGGGGGCTTTCGTGAGCCAGGCAGCGAGGGCCGCCCCCGCGCTGCAGCCCAGCCAGGCCGCGCCGGCAGAGGGGATCTCCCAACCTGCCCCGGCGCGCGGGGATTTCGCCTACGCCGCCCCGGCTCCTCCGGACGGGGCGCTCTCCCACCCTCAGGCTCCTCGGTGGCCTCCGCACCCGGGCAAAAGCCGGGAGGACCGGGACCCGCAGCGCGACGGCCTGCCGGGCCCCTGCGCGGTGGCACAGCCTGGGCCCGCTCAAGCGGGGCCGCAGGGCCAAGGGGTGCTTGCGCCACCCACGTCCCAGGGGAGTCCGTGGTGGGGCTGGGGCCGGGGTCCCCAGGTCGCCGGGGCGGCGTGGGAACCCCAAGCCGGGGCAGCTCCACCTCCCCAGCCCGCGCCCCCGGACGCCTCCGCGCGGCAGGGGCAGATGCAAGGCATCCCGGCGCCCTCCCAGGCGCTCCAGGAGCCGGCGCCCTGGTCTGCACTCCCCTGCGGCCTGCTGCTGGATGAGCTCCTGGCGAGCCCGGAGTTTCTGCAGCAGGCGCAACCTCTCCTAGAAACGGAGGCCCCGGGGGAGCTGGAGGCCTCGGAAGAGGCCGCCTCGCTGGAAGCACCCCTCAGCGAGGAAGAATACCGGGCTCTGCTGGAGGAGCTTTAGGACGCGGGGTTGGGACGGGGTCGGGTGGTTCGGGGCAGGGCGGTGGCCTCTCTTTCGCGGGGAACGCCTGGCTGGCTACGGAGGGGCGTGTCTCCGCCCCGCCCCCTCCACCGGGCTGACCGGCCTGGGATTCCTGCCTTCTAGGCCTAGGCCCGGTGAGAGACTCCACACAGCGGAGAACTGCCATTCTTTCCTGGGCATCCCGGGGATCCCAGAGCCGGCCCAGGTACCAGCAGGTGGGCCGCCTACTGCGCACGCGCGGGTTTGCGGGCAGCCGCCTGGGCTGTGGGAGCAGCCCGGGCAGAGCTCTCCTGCCTCTCCACCAGCCCACCCCGCCGCCTGACCGCCCCCTCCCCACCCCCACCCCCCGCCCCCGGAAAACGCGTCGTCCCCTGGGCTGGGTGGAGACCCCCGTCCCGCGAAACACCGGGCCCCGCGCAGCGTCCGGGCCTGACACCGCTCCGGCGGCTCGCCTCCTCTGCGCCCCCGCGCCACCGTGGCCCGCCCGCCCGGGCCCCTGCAGCCGCCCAGGTGCCAGCACGGAGCGCCTGGAGGCGGAACGCAGACCCCAGGCCCGGCGCACACCGGGGACGCTGAGCGTTCCAGGCGGGAGGGAAGGCGGGCAGAGATGGAGAGAGGAACGGGAGACCTAGAGGGGCGGAAGGATGGGCGGAGGGACGTTAGGAGGGAGGGAGGGAGGCAGGGAGGCAGGGAGGCAGGGAGGAACGGAGGGAAAGACAGAGCGACGCAGGGACTGGGGGCGGGCGGGAGGGAGCCGGGGACGGGGGGAGGAAGGCAGGGAGGAAAAGCGGTCTTCGGCCTCCGGGAGTAGCGGGACCCCCGCCCTCCGGGAAAACGGTCAGCGTCCGGCGCGGGCTGAGGGCTGGGCCCACAGCCGCCGCGCCGGCCGGCGGGGCACCACCCATTCGCCCCGGTTCCGGGGCCCAGGGAGTGGGCGGTTTCCTCCGGGACAAAAGACCGGGACTCGGGTTGCCGTCGGGTTTTCACCCGCGCGGTTCACAGACCGCACATCCCCAGGCTGAGCCCTGCAACGCGGCGCGAGGCCGACAGCCCCGGCCACGGAGGAGCCACACGCAGGACGACGGAGGCGTGATTTTGGTTTCCGCGTGGCTTTGCCCTCTGCAAGGCGGCCTGTTGCTCACGTCTCTCCGGCCCCCGAAAGGCTGGCCATGCCGACTGTTTGCTCCCGGAGCTCTGCGGGCACCCGGAAACATGCAGGGGAGGGTGCAAGCCCGGCACGGTGCCTTCGCTCTCCTTGCCAGGTTCCAAACCGGCCACACTGCAGACTCCCCACGTTGCCGCACGCGGGAATCCATCGTCAGGCCATCACGCCGGGGAGGCATCTCCTCTCTGGGGTCTCGCTCTGGTCTTCTACGTGGAAATGAACGAGAGCCACACGCCTGCGTGTGCGAGACCGTCCCGGCAACGGCGACGCCCACAGGCATTGCCTCCTTCACGGAGAGAGGGCCTGGCACACTCAAGACTCCCACGGAGGTTCAGTTCCACACTCCCCTCCACCCTCCCAGGCTGGTTTCTCCCTGCTGCCGACGCGTGGGAGCCCAGAGAGCGGCTTCCCGTTCCCGCGGGATCCCTGGAGAGGTCCGGAGAGCCGGCCCCCGAAACGCGCCCCCCTCCCCCCTCCCCCCTCTCCCCCTTCCTCTTCGTCTCTCCGGCCCCACCACCACCACCGCCACCACGCCCTCCCCCACCACCCCCCCCACCCCACACCACCACCACCACCACCACCACCACCACCCCGCCGGCCGGCCCCAGGCCTCGACGCCCTGGGTCCCTTCCGGGGTGGGGCGGGCTGTCCCAGGGGGGCTCACCGCCATTCATGAAGGGGTGGAGCCTGCCTGCCCGTGGGCCTTTACAAGGGCGGCTGGCTGGCTGGCTGGCTGTCCGGGCAGGCCTCCTGGCTGCACCTGCCGCAGTGCACAGTCCGGCTGAGGTGCACGGGAGCCCGCCGGCCTCTCTCTGCCCGCGTCCGTCCGTGAAATTGCGGCCGGGGCTCACCGCGATGGCCCTCCCGACACCTTCGGACAGCACCCTCCCCGCGGAAGCCCGGGGACGAGGACGGCGACGGAGACTCGTTTGGACCCCGAGCCAAAGCGAGGCCCTGCGAGCCTGCTTTGAGCGGAACCCGTACCCGGGCATCGCCACCAGAGAACGGCTGGCCCAGGCCATCGGCATTCCGGAGCCCAGGGTCCAGATTTGGTTTCAGAATGAGAGGTCACGCCAGCTGAGGCAGCACCGGCGGGAATCTCGGCCCTGGCCCGGGAGACGCGGCCCGCCAGAAGGCCGGCGAAAGCGGACCGCCGTCACCGGATCCCAGACCGCCCTGCTCCTCCGAGCCTTTGAGAAGGATCGCTTTCCAGGCATCGCCGCCCGGGAGGAGCTGGCCAGAGAGACGGGCCTCCCGGAGTCCAGGATTCAGATCTGGTTTCAGAATCGAAGGGCCAGGCACCCGGGACAGGGTGGCAGGGCGCCCGCGCAGGCAGGCGGCCTGTGCAGCGCGGCCCCCGGCGGGGGTCACCCTGCTCCCTCGTGGGTCGCCTTCGCCCACACCGGCGCGTGGGGAACGGGGCTTCCCGCACCCCACGTGCCCTGCGCGCCTGGGGCTCTCCCACAGGGGGCTTTCGTGAGCCAGGCAGCGAGGGCCGCCCCCGCGCTGCAGCCCAGCCAGGCCGCGCCGGCAGAGGGGATCTCCCAACCTGCCCCGGCGCGCGGGGATTTCGCCTACGCCGCCCCGGCTCCTCCGGACGGGGCGCTCTCCCACCCTCAGGCTCCTCGGTGGCCTCCGCACCCGGGCAAAAGCCGGGAGGACCGGGACCCGCAGCGCGACGGCCTGCCGGGCCCCTGCGCGGTGGCACAGCCTGGGCCCGCTCAAGCGGGGCCGCAGGGCCAAGGGGTGCTTGCGCCACCCACGTCCCAGGGGAGTCCGTGGTGGGGCTGGGGCCGGGGTCCCCAGGTCGCCGGGGCGGCGTGGGAACCCCAAGCCGGGGCAGCTCCACCTCCCCAGCCCGCGCCCCCGGACGCCTCCGCGCGGCAGGGGCAGATGCAAGGCATCCCGGCGCCCTCCCAGGCGCTCCAGGAGCCGGCGCCCTGGTCTGCACTCCCCTGCGGCCTGCTGCTGGATGAGCTCCTGGCGAGCCCGGAGTTTCTGCAGCAGGCGCAACCTCTCCTAGAAACGGAGGCCCCGGGGGAGCTGGAGGCCTCGGAAGAGGCCGCCTCGCTGGAAGCACCCCTCAGCGAGGAAGAATACCGGGCTCTGCTGGAGGAGCTTTAGGACGCGGGGTTGGGACGGGGTCGGGTGGTTCGGGGCAGGGCGGTGGCCTCTCTTTCGCGGGGAACGCCTGGCTGGCTACGGAGGGGCGTGTCTCCGCCCCGCCCCCTCCACCGGGCTGACCGGCCTGGGATTCCTGCCTTCTAGGCCTAGGCCCGGTGAGAGACTCCACACAGCGGAGAACTGCCATTCTTTCCTGGGCATCCCGGGGATCCCAGAGCCGGCCCAGGTACCAGCAGGTGGGCCGCCTACTGCGCACGCGCGGGTTTGCGGGCAGCCGCCTGGGCTGTGGGAGCAGCCCGGGCAGAGCTCTCCTGCCTCTCCACCAGCCCACCCCGCCGCCTGACCGCCCCCTCCCCACCCCCACCCCCCGCCCCCGGAAAACGCGTCGTCCCCTGGGCTGGGTGGAGACCCCCGTCCCGCGAAACACCGGGCCCCGCGCAGCGTCCGGGCCTGACACCGCTCCGGCGGCTCGCCTCCTCTGCGCCCCCGCGCCACCGTCGCCCGCCCGCCCGGGCCCCTGCAGCCGCCCAGTGCCAGCACGGAGCGCCTGGCGGCGGAACGCAGACCCCAGGCCCGGCGCACACCGGGGACGCTGAGCGTTCCAGGCGGGAGGGAAGGCGGGCAGAGATGGAGAGAGGAACGGGAGACCTAGAGGGGCGGAAGGATGGGCGGAGGGACGTTAGGAGGGAGGGAGGGAGGCAGGGAGGCAGGGAGGCAGGGAGGAACGGAGGGAAAGACAGAGCGACGCAGGGACTGGGGGCGGGCGGGAGGGAGCCGGGGACGGGGGGAGGAAGGCAGGGAGGAAAAGCGGTCTTCGGCCTCCGGGAGTAGCGGGACCCCCGCCCTCCGGGAAAACGGTCAGCGTCCGGCGCGGGCTGAGGGCTGGGCCCACAGCCGCCGCGCCGGCCGGCGGGGCACCACCCATTCGCCCCGGTTCCGGGGCCCAGGGAGTGGGCGGTTTCCTCCGGGACAAAAGACCGGGACTCGGGTTGCCGTCGGGTTTTCACCCGCGCGGTTCACAGACCGCACATCCCCAGGCTGAGCCCTGCAACGCGGCGCGAGGCCGACAGCCCCGGCCACGGAGGAGCCACACGCAGGACGACGGAGGCGTGATTTTGGTTTCCGCGTGGCTTTGCCCTCTGCAAGGCGGCCTGTTGCTCACGTCTCTCCGGCCCCCGAAAGGCTGGCCATGCCGACTGTTTGCTCCCGGAGCTCTGCGGGCACCCGGAAACATGCAGGGGAGGGTGCAAGCCCGGCACGGTGCCTTCGCTCTCCTTGCCAGGTTCCAAACCGGCCACACTGCAGACTCCCCACGTTGCCGCACGCGGGAATCCATCGTCAGGCCATCACGCCGGGGAGGCATCTCCTCTCTGGGGTCTCGCTCTGGTCTTCTACGTGGAAATGAACGAGAGCCACACGCCTGCGTGTGCGAGACCGTCCCGGCAACGGCGACGCCCACAGGCATTGCCTCCTTCACGGAGAGAGGGCCTGGCACACTCAAGACTCCCACGGAGGTTCAGTTCCACACTCCCCTCCACCCTCCCAGGCTGGTTTCTCCCTGCTGCCGACGCGTGGGAGCCCAGAGAGCGGCTTCCCGTTCCCGCGGGATCCCTGGAGAGGTCCGGAGAGCCGGCCCCCGAAACGCGCCCCCCTCCCCCCTCCCCCCTCTCCCCCTTCCTCTTCGTCTCTCCGGCCCCACCACCACCACCGCCACCACGCCCTCCCCCACCACCCCCCCCACCCCACACCACCACCACCACCACCACCACCACCACCCCGCCGGCCGGCCCCAGGCCTCGACGCCCTGGGTCCCTTCCGGGGTGGGGCGGGCTGTCCCAGGGGGGCTCACCGCCATTCATGAAGGGGTGGAGCCTGCCTGCCCGTGGGCCTTTACAAGGGCGGCTGGCTGGCTGGCTGGCTGTCCGGGCAGGCCTCCTGGCTGCACCTGCCGCAGTGCACAGTCCGGCTGAGGTGCACGGGAGCCCGCCGGCCTCTCTCTGCCCGCGTCCGTCCGTGAAATTGCGGCCGGGGCTCACCGCGATGGCCCTCCCGACACCTTCGGACAGCACCCTCCCCGCGGAAGCCCGGGGACGAGGACGGCGACGGAGACTCGTTTGGACCCCGAGCCAAAGCGAGGCCCTGCGAGCCTGCTTTGAGCGGAACCCGTACCCGGGCATCGCCACCAGAGAACGGCTGGCCCAGGCCATCGGCATTCCGGAGCCCAGGGTCCAGATTTGGTTTCAGAATGAGAGGTCACGCCAGCTGAGGCAGCACCGGCGGGAATCTCGGCCCTGGCCCGGGAGACGCGGCCCGCCAGAAGGCCGGCGAAAGCGGACCGCCGTCACCGGATTCCAGACCGCCCTGCTCCTCCGAGCCTTTGAGAAGGATCGCTTTCCAGGCATCGCCGCCCGGGAGGAGCTGGCCAGAGAGACGGGCCTCCCGGAGTCCAGGATTCAGATCTGGTTTCAGAATCGAAGGGCCAGGCACCCGGGACAGGGTGGCAGGGCGCCCGCGCAGGCAGGCGGCCTGTGCAGCGCGGCCCCCGGCGGGGGTCACCCTGCTCCCTCGTGGGTCGCCTTCGCCCACACCGGCGCGTGGGGAACGGGGCTTCCCGCACCCCACGTGCCCTGCGCGCCTGGGGCTCTCCCACAGGGGGCTTTCGTGAGCCAGGCAGCGAGGGCCGCCCCCGCGCTGCAGCCCAGCCAGGCCGCGCCGGCAGAGGGGATCTCCCAACCTGCCCCGGCGCGCGGGGATTTCGCCTACGCCGCCCCGGCTCCTCCGGACGGGGCGCTCTCCCACCCTCAGGCTCCTCGGTGGCCTCCGCACCCGGGCAAAAGCCGGGAGGACCGGGACCCGCAGCGCGACGGCCTGCCGGGCCCCTGCGCGGTGGCACAGCCTGGGCCCGCTCAAGCGGGGCCGCAGGGCCAAGGGGTGCTTGCGCCACCCACGTCCCAGGGGAGTCCGTGGTGGGGCTGGGGCCGGGGTCCCCAGGTCGCCGGGGCGGCGTGGGAACCCCAAGCCGGGGCAGCTCCACCTCCCCAGCCCGCGCCCCCGGACGCCTCCGCGCGGCAGGGGCAGATGCAAGGCATCCCGGCGCCCTCCCAGGCGCTCCAGGAGCCGGCGCCCTGGTCTGCACTCCCCTGCGGCCTGCTGCTGGATGAGCTCCTGGCGAGCCCGGAGTTTCTGCAGCAGGCGCAACCTCTCCTAGAAACGGAGGCCCCGGGGGAGCTGGAGGCCTCGGAAGAGGCCGCCTCGCTGGAAGCACCCCTCAGCGAGGAAGAATACCGGGCTCTGCTGGAGGAGCTTTAGGACGCGGGGTTGGGACGGGGTCGGGTGGTTCGGGGCAGGGCGGTGGCCTCTCTTTCGCGGGGAACGCCTGGCTGGCTACGGAGGGGCGTGTCTCCGCCCCGCCCCCTCCACCGGGCTGACCGGCCTGGGATTCCTGCCTTCTAGGCCTAGGCCCGGTGAGAGACTCCACACAGCGGAGAACTGCCATTCTTTCCTGGGCATCCCGGGGATCCCAGAGCCGGCCCAGGTACCAGCAGGTGGGCCGCCTACTGCGCACGCGCGGGTTTGCGGGCAGCCGCCTGGGCTGTGGGAGCAGCCCGGGCAGAGCTCTCCTGCCTCTCCACCAGCCCACCCCACCGCCTGACCGCCCCCTCCCCACCCCCACCCCCCGCCCCCGGAAAACGCGTCGTCCCCTGGGCTGGGTGGAGACCCCCGTCCCGCGAAACACCGGGCCCCGCGCAGCGTCCGGGCCTGACACCGCTCCGGCGGCTCGCCTCCTCTGCGCCCCCGCGCCACCGTGGCCCGCCCGCCCGGGCCCCTGCAGCCGCCCAGGTGCCAGCACGGAGCGCCTGGAGGCGGAACGCAGACCCCAGGCCCGGCGCACACCGGGGACGCTGAGCGTTCCAGGCGGGAGGGAAGGCGGGCAGAGATGGAGAGAGGAACGGGAGACCTAGAGGGGCGGAAGGATGGGCGGAGGGACGTTAGGAGGGAGGGAGGGAGGCAGGGAGGCAGGGAGGCAGGGAGGAACGGAGGGAAAGACAGAGCGACGCAGGGACTGGGGGCGGGCGGGAGGGAGCCGGGGACGGGGGGAGGAAGGCAGGGAGGAAAAGCGGTCTTCGGCCTCCGGGAGTAGCGGGACCCCCGCCCTCCGGGAAAACGGTCAGCGTCCGGCGCGGGCTGAGGGCTGGGCCCACAGCCGCCGCGCCGGCCGGCGGGGCACCACCCATTCGCCCCGGTTCCGGGGCCCAGGGAGTGGGCGGTTTCCTCCGGGACAAAAGACCGGGACTCGGGTTGCCGTCGGGTTTTCACCCGCGCGGTTCACAGACCGCACATCCCCAGGCTGAGCCCTGCAACGCGGCGCGAGGCCGACAGCCCCGGCCACGGAGGAGCCACACGCAGGACGACGGAGGCGTGATTTTGGTTTCCGCGTGGCTTTGCCCTCTGCAAGGCGGCCTGTTGCTCACGTCTCTCCGGCCCCCGAAAGGCTGGCCATGCCGACTGTTTGCTCCCGGAGCTCTGCGGGCACCCGGAAACATGCAGGGGAGGGTGCAAGCCCGGCACGGTGCCTTCGCTCTCCTTGCCAGGTTCCAAACCGGCCACACTGCAGACTCCCCACGTTGCCGCACGCGGGAATCCATCGTCAGGCCATCACGCCGGGGAGGCATCTCCTCTCTGGGGTCTCGCTCTGGTCTTCTACGTGGAAATGAACGAGAGCCACACGCCTGCGTGTGCGAGACCGTCCCGGCAACGGCGACGCCCACAGGCATTGCCTCCTTCACGGAGAGAGGGCCTGGCACACTCAAGACTCCCACGGAGGTTCAGTTCCACACTCCCCTCCACCCTCCCAGGCTGGTTTCTCCCTGCTGCCGACGCGTGGGAGCCCAGAGAGCGGCTTCCCGTTCCCGCGGGATCCCTGGAGAGGTCCGGAGAGCCGGCCCCCGAAACGCGCCCCCCTCCCCCCTCCCCCCTCTCCACCTTCCTCTTCGTCTCTCCGGCCCCACCACCACCACCGCCACCACGCCCTCCCCCACCACCACCCCCCCCCCACCACCACCACCACCACCACCCCGCCGGCCGGCCCCAGGCCTCGACGCCCTGGGTCCCTTCCGGGGTGGGGCGGGCTGTCCCAGGGGGGCTCACCGCCATTCATGAAGGGGTGGAGCCTGCCTGCCCGTGGGCCTTTACAAGGGCGGCTGGCTGGCTGGCTGGCTGTCCGGGCAGGCCTCCTGGCTGCACCTGCCGCAGTGCACAGTCCGGCTGAGGTGCACGGGAGCCCGCCGGCCTCTCTCTGCCCGCGTCCGTCCGTGAAATTGCGGCCGGGGCTCACCGCGATGGCCCTCCCGACACCTTCGGACAGCACCCTCCCCGCGGAAGCCCGGGGACGAGGACGGCGACGGAGACTCGTTTGGACCCCGAGCCAAAGCGAGGCCCTGCGAGCCTGCTTTGAGCGGAACCCGTACCCGGGCATCGCCACCAGAGAACGGCTGGCCCAGGCCATCGGCATTCCGGAGCCCAGGGTCCAGATTTGGTTTCAGAATGAGAGGTCACGCCAGCTGAGGCAGCACCGGCGGGAATCTCGGCCCTGGCCCGGGAGACGCGGCCCGCCAGAAGGCCGGCGAAAGCGGACCGCCGTCACCGGATCCCAGACCGCCCTGCTCCTCCGAGCCTTTGAGAAGGATCGCTTTCCAGGCATCGCCGCCCGGGAGGAGCTGGCCAGAGAGACGGGCCTCCCGGAGTCCAGGATTCAGATCTGGTTTCAGAATCGAAGGGCCAGGCACCCGGGACAGGGTGGCAGGGCGCCCGCGCAGGCAGGCGGCCTGTGCAACGCGGCCCCCGGCGGGGGTCACCCTGCTCCCTCGTGGGTCGCCTTCGCCCACACCGGCGCGTGGGGAACGGGGCTTCCCGCACCCCACGTGCCCTGCGCGCCTGGGGCTCTCCCACAGGGGGCTTTCGTGAGCCAGGCAGCGAGGGCCGCCCCCGCGCTGCAGCCCAGCCAGGCCGCGCCGGCAGAGGGGATCTCCCAACCTGCCCCGGCGCGCGGGGATTTCGCCTACGCCGCCCCGGCTCCTCCGGACGGGGCGCTCTCCCACCCTCAGGCTCCTCGGTGGCCTCCGCACCCGGGCAAAAGCCGGGAGGACCGGGACCCGCAGCGCGACGGCCTGCCGGGCCCCTGCGCGGTGGCACAGCCTGGGCCCGCTCAAGCGGGGCCGCAGGGCCAAGGGGTGCTTGCGCCACCCACGTCCCAGGGGAGTCCGTGGTGGGGCTGGGGCCGGGGTCCCCAGGTCGCCGGGGCGGCGTGGGAACCCCAAGCCGGGGCAGCTCCACCTCCCCAGCCCGCGCCCCCGGACGCCTCCGCGCGGCAGGGGCAGATGCAAGGCATCCCGGCGCCCTCCCAGGCGCTCCAGGAGCCGGCGCCCTGGTCTGCACTCCCCTGCGGCCTGCTGCTGGATGAGCTCCTGGCGAGCCCGGAGTTTCTGCAGCAGGCGCAACCTCTCCTAGAAACGGAGGCCCCGGGGGAGCTGGAGGCCTCGGAAGAGGCCGCCTCGCTGGAAGCACCCCTCAGCGAGGAAGAATACCGGGCTCTGCTGGAGGAGCTTTAGGACGCGGGGTTGGGACGGGGTCGGGTGGTTCGGGGCAGGGCGGTGGCCTCTCTTTCGCGGGGAACGCCTGGCTGGCTACGGAGGGGCGTGTCTCCGCCCCGCCCCCTCCACCGGGCTGACCGGCCTGGGATTCCTGCCTTCTAGGCCTAGGCCCGGTGAGAGACTCCACACAGCGGAGAACTGCCATTCTTTCCTGGGCATCCCGGGGATCCCAGAGCCGGCCCAGGTACCAGCAGGTGGGCCGCCTACTGCGCACGCGCGGGTTTGCGGGCAGCCGCCTGGGCTGTGGGAGCAGCCCGGGCAGAGCTCTCCTGCCTCTCCACCAGCCCACCCCGCCGCCTGACCGCCCCCTCCCCACCCCCACCCCCCGCCCCCGGAAAACGCGTCGTCCCCTGGGCTGGGTGGAGACCCCCGTCCCGCGAAACACCGGGCCCCGCGCAGCGTCCGGGCCTGACACCGCTCCGGCGGCTCGCCTCCTCTGCGCCCCCGCGCCACCGTCGCCCGCCCGCCCGGGCCCCTGCAGCCGCCCAGGTGCCAGCACGGAGCGCCTGGCGGCGGAACGCAGACCCCAGGCCCGGCGCACACCGGGGACGCTGAGCGTTCCAGGCGGGAGGGAAGGCGGGCAGAGATGGAGAGAGGAACGGGAGACCTAGAGGGGCGGAAGGATGGGCGGAGGGACGTTAGGAGGGAGGGAGGGAGGCAGGGAGGCAGGGAGGCAGGGAGGAACGGAGGGAAAGACAGAGCGACGCAGGGACTGGGGGCGGGCGGGAGGGAGCCGGGGACGGGGGGAGGAAGGCAGGGAGGAAAAGCGGTCTTCGGCCTCCGGGAGTAGCGGGACCCCCGCCCTCCGGGAAAACGGTCAGCGTCCGGCGCGGGCTGAGGGCTGGGCCCACAGCCGCCGCGCCGGCCGGCGGGGCACCACCCATTCGCCCCGGTTCCGGGGCCCAGGGAGTGGGCGGTTTCCTCCGGGACAAAAGACCGGGACTCGGGTTGCCGTCGGGTTTTCACCCGCGCGGTTCACAGACCGCACATCCCCAGGCTGAGCCCTGCAACGCGGCGCGAGGCCGACAGCCCCGGCCACGGAGGAGCCACACGCAGGACGACGGAGGCGTGATTTTGGTTTCCGCGTGGCTTTGCCCTCTGCAAGGCGGCCTGTTGCTCACGTCTCTCCGGCCCCCGAAAGGCTGGCCATGCCGACTGTTTGCTCCCGGAGCTCTGCGGGCACCCGGAAACATGCAGGGGAGGGTGCAAGCCCGGCACGGTGCCTTCGCTCTCCTTGCCAGGTTCCAAACCGGCCACACTGCAGACTCCCCACGTTGCCGCACGCGGGAATCCATCGTCAGGCCATCACGCCGGGGAGGCATCTCCTCTCTGGGGTCTCGCTCTGGTCTTCTACGTGGAAATGAACGAGAGCCACACGCCTGCGTGTGCGAGACCGTCCCGGCAACGGCGACGCCCACAGGCATTGCCTCCTTCACGGAGAGAGGGCCTGGCACACTCAAGACTCCCACGGAGGTTCAGTTCCACACTCCCCTCCACCCTCCCAGGCTGGTTTCTCCCTGCTGCCGACGCGTGGGAGCCCAGAGAGCGGCTTCCCGTTCCCGCGGGATCCCTGGAGAGGTCCGGAGAGCCGGCCCCCGAAACGCGCCCCCCTCCCCCCTCCCCCCTCTCCCCCTTCCTCTTCGTCTCTCCGGCCCCACCACCACCACCGCCACCACGCCCTCCCCCACCACCCCCCCCACCCCACACCACCACCACCACCACCACCACCACCACCCCGCCGGCCGGCCCCAGGCCTCGACGCCCTGGGTCCCTTCCGGGGTGGGGCGGGCTGTCCCAGGGGGGCTCACCGCCATTCATGAAGGGGTGGAGCCTGCCTGCCCGTGGGCCTTTACAAGGGCGGCTGGCTGGCTGGCTGGCTGTCCGGGCAGGCCTCCTGGCTGCACCTGCCGCAGTGCACAGTCCGGCTGAGGTGCACGGGAGCCCGCCGGCCTCTCTCTGCCCGCGTCCGTCCGTGAAATTGCGGCCGGGGCTCACCGCGATGGCCCTCCCGACACCTTCGGACAGCACCCTCCCCGCGGAAGCCCGGGGACGAGGACGGCGACGGAGACTCGTTTGGACCCCGAGCCAAAGCGAGGCCCTGCGAGCCTGCTTTGAGCGGAACCCGTACCCGGGCATCGCCACCAGAGAACGGCTGGCCCAGGCCATCGGCATTCCGGAGCCCAGGGTCCAGATTTGGTTTCAGAATGAGAGGTCACGCCAGCTGAGGCAGCACCGGCGGGAATCTCGGCCCTGGCCCGGGAGACGCGGCCCGCCAGAAGGCCGGCGAAAGCGGACCGCCGTCACCGGATCCCAGACCGCCCTGCTCCTCCGAGCCTTTGAGAAGGATCGCTTTCCAGGCATCGCCGCCCGGGAGGAGCTGGCCAGAGAGACGGGCCTCCCGGAGTCCAGGATTCAGATCTGGTTTCAGAATCGAAGGGCCAGGCACCCGGGACAGGGTGGCAGGGCGCCCGCGCAGGCAGGCGGCCTGTGCAGCGCGGCCCCCGGCGGGGGTCACCCTGCTCCCTCGTGGGTCGCCTTCGCCCACACCGGCGCGTGGGGAACGGGGCTTCCCGCACCCCACGTGCCCTGCGCGCCTGGGGCTCTCCCACAGGGGGCTTTCGTGAGCCAGGCAGCGAGGGCCGCCCCCGCGCTGCAGCCCAGCCAGGCCGCGCCGGCAGAGGGGATCTCCCAACCTGCCCCGGCGCGCGGGGATTTCGCCTACGCCGCCCCGGCTCCTCCGGACGGGGCGCTCTCCCACCCTCAGGCTCCTCGGTGGCCTCCGCACCCGGGCAAAAGCCGGGAGGACCGGGACCCGCAGCGCGACGGCCTGCCGGGCCCCTGCGCGGTGGCACAGCCTGGGCCCGCTCAAGCGGGGCCGCAGGGCCAAGGGGTGCTTGCGCCACCCACGTCCCAGGGGAGTCCGTGGTGGGGCTGGGGCCGGGGTCCCCAGGTCGCCGGGGCGGCGTGGGAACCCCAAGCCGGGGCAGCTCCACCTCCCCAGCCCGCGCCCCCGGACGCCTCCGCGCGGCAGGGGCAGATGCAAGGCATCCCGGCGCCCTCCCAGGCGCTCCAGGAGCCGGCGCCCTGGTCTGCACTCCCCTGCGGCCTGCTGCTGGATGAGCTCCTGGCGAGCCCGGAGTTTCTGCAGCAGGCGCAACCTCTCCTAGAAACGGAGGCCCCGGGGGAGCTGGAGGCCTCGGAAGAGGCCGCCTCGCTGGAAGCACCCCTCAGCGAGGAAGAATACCGGGCTCTGCTGGAGGAGCTTTAGGACGCGGGGTTGGGACGGGGTCGGGTGGTTCGGGGCAGGGCGGTGGCCTCTCTTTCGCGGGGAACGCCTGGCTGGCTACGGAGGGGCGTGTCTCCGCCCCGCCCCCTCCACCGGGCTGACCGGCCTGGGATTCCTGCCTTCTAGGCCTAGGCCCGGTGAGAGACTCCACACAGCGGAGAACTGCCATTCTTTCCTGGGCATCCCGGGGATCCCAGAGCCGGCCCAGGTACCAGCAGGTGGGCCGCCTACTGCGCACGCGCGGGTTTGCGGGCAGCCGCCTGGGCTGTGGGAGCAGCCCGGGCAGAGCTCTCCTGCCTCTCCACCAGCCCACCCCGCCGCCTGACCGCCCCCTCCCCACCCCCACCCCCCGCCCCCGGAAAACGCGTCGTCCCCTGGGCTGGGTGGAGACCCCCGTCCCGCGAAACACCGGGCCCCGCGCAGCGTCCGGGCCTGACACCGCTCCGGCGGCTCGCCTCCTCTGCGCCCCCGCGCCACCGTCGCCCGCCCGCCCGGGCCCCTGCAGCCGCCCAGGTGCCAGCACGGAGCGCCTGGCGGCGGAACGCAGACCCCAGGCCCGGCGCACACCGGGGACGCTGAGCGTTCCAGGCGGGAGGGAAGGCGGGCAGAGATGGAGAGAGGAACGGGAGACCTAGAGGGGCGGAAGGATGGGCGGAGGGACGTTAGGAGGGAGGGAGGGAGGCAGGGAGGCAGGGAGGCAGGGAGGAACGGAGGGAAAGACAGAGCGACGCAGGGACTGGGGGCGGGCGGGAGGGAGCCGGGGACGGGGGGAGGAAGGCAGGGAGGAAAAGCGGTCTTCGGCCTCCGGGAGTAGCGGGACCCCCGCCCTCCGGGAAAACGGTCAGCGTCCGGCGCGGGCTGAGGGCTGGGCCCACAGCCGCCGCGCCGGCCGGCGGGGCACCACCCATTCGCCCCGGTTCCGGGGCCCAGGGAGTGGGCGGTTTCCTCCGGGACAAAAGACCGGGACTCGGGTTGCCGTCGGGTTTTCACCCGCGCGGTTCACAGACCGCACATCCCCAGGCTGAGCCCTGCAACGCGGCGCGAGGCCGACAGCCCCGGCCACGGAGGAGCCACACGCAGGACGACGGAGGCGTGATTTTGGTTTCCGCGTGGCTTTGCCCTCTGCAAGGCGGCCTGTTGCTCACGTCTCTCCGGCCCCCGAAAGGCTGGCCATGCCGACTGTTTGCTCCCGGAGCTCTGCGGGCACCCGGAAACATGCAGGGGAGGGTGCAAGCCCGGCACGGTGCCTTCGCTCTCCTTGCCAGGTTCCAAACCGGCCACACTGCAGACTCCCCACGTTGCCGCACGCGGGAATCCATCGTCAGGCCATCACGCCGGGGAGGCATCTCCTCTCTGGGGTCTCGCTCTGGTCTTCTACGTGGAAATGAACGAGAGCCACACGCCTGCGTGTGCGAGACCGTCCCGGCAACGGCGACGCCCACAGGCATTGCCTCCTTCACGGAGAGAGGGCCTGGCACACTCAAGACTCCCACGGAGGTTCAGTTCCACACTCCCCTCCACCCTCCCAGGCTGGTTTCTCCCTGCTGCCGACGCGTGGGAGCCCAGAGAGCGGCTTCCCGTTCCCGCGGGATCCCTGGAGAGGTCCGGAGAGCCGGCCCCCGAAACGCGCCCCCCTCCCCCCTCCCCCCTCTCCACCTTCCTCTTCGTCTCTCCGGCCCCACCACCACCACCGCCACCACGCCCTCCCCCACCACCACCCCCCCCCCACCACCACCACCACCACCACCCCGCCGGCCGGCCCCAGGCCTCGACGCCCTGGGTCCCTTCCGGGGTGGGGCGGGCTGTCCCAGGGGGGCTCACCGCCATTCATGAAGGGGTGGAGCCTGCCTGCCCGTGGGCCTTTACAAGGGCGGCTGGCTGGCTGGCTGGCTGTCCGGGCAGGCCTCCTGGCTGCACCTGCCGCAGTGCACAGTCCGGCTGAGGTGCACGGGAGCCCGCCGGCCTCTCTCTGCCCGCGTCCGTCCGTGAAATTGCGGCCGGGGCTCACCGCGATGGCCCTCCCGACACCTTCGGACAGCACCCTCCCCGCGGAAGCCCGGGGACGAGGACGGCGACGGAGACTCGTTTGGACCCCGAGCCAAAGCGAGGCCCTGCGAGCCTGCTTTGAGCGGAACCCGTACCCGGGCATCGCCACCAGAGAACGGCTGGCCCAGGCCATCGGCATTCCGGAGCCCAGGGTCCAGATTTGGTTTCAGAATGAGAGGTCACGCCAGCTGAGGCAGCACCGGCGGGAATCTCGGCCCTGGCCCGGGAGACGCGGCCCGCCAGAAGGCCGGCGAAAGCGGACCGCCGTCACCGGATCCCAGACCGCCCTGCTCCTCCGAGCCTTTGAGAAGGATCGCTTTCCAGGCATCGCCGCCCGGGAGGAGCTGGCCAGAGAGACGGGCCTCCCGGAGTCCAGGATTCAGATCTGGTTTCAGAATCGAAGGGCCAGGCACCCGGGACAGGGTGGCAGGGCGCCCGCGCAGGCAGGCGGCCTGTGCAGCGCGGCCCCCGGCGGGGGTCACCCTGCTCCCTCGTGGGTCGCCTTCGCCCACACCGGCGCGTGGGGAACGGGGCTTCCCGCACCCCACGTGCCCTGCGCGCCTGGGGCTCTCCCACAGGGGGCTTTCGTGAGCCAGGCAGCGAGGGCCGCCCCCGCGCTGCAGCCCAGCCAGGCCGCGCCGGCAGAGGGGATCTCCCAACCTGCCCCGGCGCGCGGGGATTTCGCCTACGCCGCCCCGGCTCCTCCGGACGGGGCGCTCTCCCACCCTCAGGCTCCTCGGTGGCCTCCGCACCCGGGCAAAAGCCGGGAGGACCGGGACCCGCAGCGCGACGGCCTGCCGGGCCCCTGCGCGGTGGCACAGCCTGGGCCCGCTCAAGCGGGGCCGCAGGGCCAAGGGGTGCTTGCGCCACCCACGTCCCAGGGGAGTCCGTGGTGGGGCTGGGGCCGGGGTCCCCAGGTCGCCGGGGCGGCGTGGGAACCCCAAGCCGGGGCAGCTCCACCTCCCCAGCCCGCGCCCCCGGACGCCTCCGCGCGGCAGGGGCAGATGCAAGGCATCCCGGCGCCCTCCCAGGCGCTCCAGGAGCCGGCGCCCTGGTCTGCACTCCCCTGCGGCCTGCTGCTGGATGAGCTCCTGGCGAGCCCGGAGTTTCTGCAGCAGGCGCAACCTCTCCTAGAAACGGAGGCCCCGGGGGAGCTGGAGGCCTCGGAAGAGGCCGCCTCGCTGGAAGCACCCCTCAGCGAGGAAGAATACCGGGCTCTGCTGGAGGAGCTTTAGGACGCGGGGTTGGGACGGGGTCGGGTGGTTCGGGGCAGGGCGGTGGCCTCTCTTTCGCGGGGAACGCCTGGCTGGCTACGGAGGGGCGTGTCTCCGCCCCGCCCCCTCCACCGGGCTGACCGGCCTGGGATTCCTGCCTTCTAGGCCTAGGCCCGGTGAGAGACTCCACACAGCGGAGAACTGCCATTCTTTCCTGGGCATCCCGGGGATCCCAGAGCCGGCCCAGGTACCAGCAGGTGGGCCGCCTACTGCGCACGCGCGGGTTTGCGGGCAGCCGCCTGGGCTGTGGGAGCAGCCCGGGCAGAGCTCTCCTGCCTCTCCACCAGCCCACCCCGCCGCCTGACCGCCCCCTCCCCACCCCCACCCCCCGCCCCCGGAAAACGCGTCGTCCCCTGGGCTGGGTGGAGACCCCCGTCCCGCGAAACACCGGGCCCCGCGCAGCGTCCGGGCCTGACACCGCTCCGGCGGCTCGCCTCCTCTGCGCCCCCGCGCCACCGTCGCCCGCCCGCCCGGGCCCCTGCAGCCGCCCAGGTGCCAGCACGGAGCGCCTGGCGGTCAAAAGCATACCTCTGTCTGTCTTTGCCCGCTTCCTGGCTAGACCTGCGCGCAGTGCGCACCCCGGGTGACGTGCAAGGGAGCTCGCTGGCCTCTCTGTGCCCTTGTTCGTCCGTGAAATTCTGGCTGAATCTCTCCCCCCACCTTCCGAGGCTGTCTAGGCAAACCTGGATTAGAGTTACATCTCCTGGATGATTAGTTCAGAGATATATCAAAATTCCCCCTCCCTGTGGATCCTATAGAGGATTTGCATCTTTTGTGTGATCAGTGCAGAGATATGTCACAATATCCCCTGTAGAAAAAGCCTGAAATTGATTTACATAACTTCGGTGATCAGTGCAGATGTGTTTCAGAACTCCATAGTAGACTGAACCTAGAGAATGGTTACATCACTTAGGTGATCAGTGTAGAGATATGTTAAAATTCTCGTGTAGACAGAGCCTAGACAATTGTTACATCACCTAGTGATCAGTGCAGGGATAAGTCATAAAGCCTCCTGTAGGCAGAGTGTAGGCAAGTGTTCCCTGCCTGGGCTGATCAGTGCAGAGATATCTCACAAAGCCCCTATAAGCCAAACCTTGACAAGGGTTACATCACCTGTTTGATCAGTGGAAATATATATCACAAAGCCCCCTGTAGACAAAGCCCAGACAATTTTTACATCTCCTGAGTGAGCATTGGAGAGATCTGTCACAATGCCCCTGTAGGCAGAGCTGAGACAAGTGTTACATCATCTGGGTGATCAGTGCAGAGATATGTCAAAACGCTCCTGTAGGCTGAACCTAGACAGGAGTTACATCACCTGGGGGATCAGTGCAGAGATACGTGAGAATTCCCTTGTAGGCAGGGCCTAGACAAGTGTTACATCACCTAGGTTATCAGTGCAGAGATATGTGAGAATTCCCGTGTAGGCAGAGCCTAGACAAGTGTTACATCACCTAGTTTATCAGTGTAATTATTAGTCATAAAGCCTCCTGTAGGCAGAGCGTAGACAAGAGTTCCCTCCTCAGGATGATCAGTGCAGAGATGTGTCACAAAGCCCCTGTAGGCAGAGCCTAGACAAGAGTTTCATCACTTGGTTGATCAGTTCAGAGATGTGTCAGAATGTCCATGTAGGCAGATCTAAGACAAGCGTCCATCACCTGGGTGATCAGTGCAGAGATATGTACCAGTGTCCCCTGTAGGCAGTGCCTAGACAAGAGTTGAATCACCTCAGAGATCAGTGCATAGATATGTCACAAAGCCTTCTGTAGGCAAAGCCCATACAAGGTTTACATCACCTAGGTGATCAGTGCAGTGATATGTCACAAAAATCCCTGTAGACAGAGCCTAGACAAGAGTTACTTCACCTGGGTGATCAGTGCAGATATTTGACACAATGCCCCCATAGACAGAGCCTAGGCAAGACTTCCATCACCTGGGTGATCAGTGCAGAGATATGTCACAAATCCCCCTCTAGGCAGAGTATAGAGAAGAGTCCCATCACCTGGGTGATCAGTGCAGAGATATTTCACAATGCCCCCTGTAGGCAGAGAGTGGACAAGAGTTACATCACCTAGATGATCTGTGCAGAGCTATGTCAAAACGCCCCTGTAGGCAGAGCCTAGATGAGTGTTACATCACCTGGGTGATCATTGCAGAGATACGTCACAATACCCCCTGTAGGTGGGGCCTAGACAAGAGTTACATCACCTGGGTGATCAGTACAGAAATATGTCACAAAGCCCCTGTAGGCAGAGCCTAGACAAGAGTTACATCACCTGGGTTATCAGTGCAGAAATATGTCACAAAGCCCCTGTAGGTCGAGTCTAGACAAGAGTTACATCTCCTGGGTGATCAGTGCAAAGATATGTCACAAAGCCCCCTGTAGACAAATCCCAGAAAATTGTTACATCACCTGGGTGATCAGTGGAGATATGTGTCACAATTCCCCTTTAGGCACAGCTTAGACAAGCGTTACATCACATGAGTGATCATTGCAGAGTTATGTCACTATGCCCCCATAGGCAGATCCAAGACAAGAGTCCATCACCTGGGTGATCAGTGCAGAAATATGCCACAATGCCGCCAGTAGGCAGATATAGACAAGAGTTACATCACCTGCGTGATCACTGCAGAGATATATCACAATGCCCCTGTAGGCAGAGCCTAGACAAGAGTCCCATCACCTGGGTGATCAGTGCAGAGTTATGTCACAATGCCCCTTTTTGGCAGAGCCTAGACAAGGGTTACATCACCTGGGTGATCAGTGCAGAGATATGTCACAATGTCCCTGTAGCCATATCCTTGACAAAAGTCCCATCACCTGGGTGATCAGTGCAGAGATATGTCACAAAGCCCCTGTAGGCAGAGCCTAGACAAGAGTTACATCACTTTGTTGATCAGTTCAGAGATGTGTCACAATGCCCATGTAGGCAGAGCCTAGACAAGTGTTCCATCGCCTGGGTGATCAGTGCAGAGATATGTGACAAGGCCCCCATACACAGAGCCTAGACAACAGTCCCATCCCCTGGGTGATCAGTGCAGAAATATGTCGCAATGCCCCCATAGGCAGATCCAACACAAGAGTTACATCACCTGGGTGATCAGTGTAGAGATATGTCACAATGCCCCAATAGGCAGAGCGTAGACAAAAGTCCCATCACCAAGGTGATCAGTGCAGAGATATGTCACAAAGCCCCCATAGGCAGAGCCTAGACAAGAGTTACATCACTTGGTTGATCAGTTCAGAGATGTGTCACAATGCCCATGTAGGCAGAGCCTACACCAGTGTTACATCACTTAGGTGATCAGTGCAGAGCTATGTCACAATACCCCCGTAAGCAGAGCCTAGACAAGAGTTACATCACCTGGTTGATCAGTGCAGAGATATCTCACAATGTCCCTGCAGGCAGAGTATAGACAAGAGTTACATCACCTAGATGATCAGTGCAGAGATATTTCACAATGCCCCCTGTAGGCAGAGCCTAGATAAGAATTATATTACCTGGATGATCAGTACGGTGATATGTCACTATGCCCCCTGTGGGCGGAGCCTAGACAAGAGTTACATCACCTGGGTCATAAGGGCAGAGATATGTCACAATGCTCCAGTAGGCAGAGCCTAGACAAGAGTCCTATCACCTGGGTGATCAGTGCAGAAATATGTCACAATGCTCCCAGTAGACAGAGCCTAGACAAGAGTTACATCACCTGGGTGATCAGTGCAGAAATATGTTGCAATGCCCCCATAGGCAGATCCAACACAAGAGTTACATCACCTGGGTGATCAGTGCAGAGATATGCAACAATGCCCCCAGTAGGCAGAGCCTAGAGGAGAGTTACATCATCTGGGTGATCTTTGCAGAGATATGTCACAATCCCCCAAGTAAGCAGAGCCTAGACAAAAGTTACATCATCTGGGCGATCAGTGCAGAGAGAAGTCACAAAACCCACATAGGAAAAGACTAGACAAGAGTTACATCATCTGGGTCATCAGTGCAGACATATGTCAAAGCTGCCGTAGACAGAGTGTAGACAATTATTACATCACTTGGGTGATCAGTGCAGAGATCTATCACAGTGCCCCCATAGGCAGAGCCTAGACAAGAGTTCCATCACCTGTGTGATCAGTGTAGAGATATGTCACAATGCCTCCTGTAGGCAGAGGCTAGACAAGAGTTACATCACCTGGATTTTGTTTCCTGCAATATGTCACAATGGTGAGGGTGAGGGTTAGGGTGAGGGTTAGGGTTAGGGTGAGCATTAGGTTTAGGGTTAGGGTTAGGGTTAGGGGTTAGGCTTAGGCTTAGGGTAAGGCTTAGGGTTCAGGTTCAAGTTTGGATTCGGGTTCAGGTTAAGAGTTAGGGTTAGGGTTACTGGTTAGGGTTAGGGGTTAGGGTTAGGGGTTAGGGCTGGGTTAGGTTTAGGGTTAGGGTTAGGGTTATGGGTTACAGTTAGGGTTAGGGTTAGGTTTTAGGGTTAGGGTTAGGGTTAGGATTGGGGTTAGGTTTAGGGTTAGGGTAGTGTAAATAATTTCACATTATTACTAATAATAAATTATTATTTATATTACACTATTACTTAATGTATAGGCTATTAAGACATGTTTGTCTTCAAAGAATGGCCTTGGTTTCTGTGGACAGTTTCTCCTCATGGAAAGGTAGTGTGTTCCTGCTAAATCATGGACAAAACGGTTCCCCAGGAGCTACAGGCTGCAGAAGCAGCTTCTCCTCTATGTTCTTCACTGCCTCATACTGTTGTTGACCTTGAAACCTTCTTTTGGTCTAGTTTTATCAACAGAGCTAGTATTTACATGAGGTTCTACTACATACCAGGTTCCAGAAAGCTAAATGCTTTTTGTTTGTTTTTATTCACTAAATACAAATCACAACTCTCTTCTCATTACACACACAACAAAATTTAGCTGAGGGAGATTGAGTGACTTTCCCAGGGTCACACAGCTACTAATAGCAGAGTAGTGTTTAGATTCATATGGGAATACTGAACACAGAAATGAACCAATGGAAACATCCTACGTTCCAAAAGCCTACTCAAGCCATTTGTTCTTATTTTAAGGAAAATATGTTAATTTTAAACTCCAAATACTTATGAATAGCAGAGATCTACAGATTTGATTCTGATGTAAGAAATGATGCTCACCAGCTGGTTACTGCTACCACCCCACAACCCGCAGCATACTGGACAACTGTCTAAGCCTCGTGGTTAGTGGGGACATTGCTGGTGGAGTCTGAAATTGTCATGCAGTGACTCACTCAAGCTTAGGCAGATTTGGTGATATATGACACAGAGATGCAAAGAAATGTTGTAGCTGACACACACAGGCTGGCTCTGGGAGATGCAGAAGGAGCACGTCCCCCAAAATGAAGCCAGACAGACATCCTTAAGGAAGGAGCAAAGGGGCTTCATCTTAAAGAATGAAGAAGGGATTTGTCTTGAGAGATGTGGCAGGAATTTCTTGAGAGGCAGAGGGAGAGCATGAGAATGTTAGGAAGGCAGGAGAGACTCTCACACATCTGGGAAGCTGACAATCCATCAGCATGTCCAGGAGGAAAATAAGGAGGAGGAGCAGAAATAGATGAGGCTGGATATAGAAGCAGGGCTGAAGCTGTGTTGTTTGTGGTAAAGAGTTGTGATTCTATCCAGAAGGCAATAGGTAGCATTCTAAACAGAGATCCTTTTTTTTTTTGAGATGGAGTCTTGCTCTGTTGCCCGGGCTGGAATGCAGTGACACGATCCCGGGTCACTGCAAGCTCCTCCTCCCAGGTTCACACCATTCTCCTGCCTCAGCCTCTGGAGTAGCTGGGACTACAGTCGCCCGCCACCACACCCGGCTAATTTTTTTGTATTTTTAGTAGAGACGAGGTTTCACTGGGTTAGCCAGGATGGTCTTGATCTCCTGGCCTCGTGATCCGCTAGCCTCGGCGTCCCAAAGTGCTGGGATTACAGACGTGAGCCACCACGCCTGGCCACAGAGATCTTTTAAAACAAGAGTCAGCAAATATTTTCTGCAAAGGGCTAAATGTTAAATATTTTAAATTTTCCAAGCCATATGGTCTCTCTCTCAATGACTCAGCTCTTCCATTATACCATGAAAGTAGCCAGAGACGTTATATAACACATGTATGTGGCTGTGTCCCATTACAACTTTACTTACAAACGCAGACTGTGTCAGACATAGTCCATGTATGGTAGTTTGCCACACCTTGTTTTAGAAAGCTCAGGTTTATGATGTGATGGAGAATTCCTACAAGAGTTCTTGTTTTAAATGGTAGAGTGAACATACACTGGAATTCTATACTGCTTGACCCAAGCTTTTGATAGCAAAAGGTAGAAAAGACAGATAGTAAACAGATAGATAGATGATAGGAAGGTAGATAGATAGATGATAGATAAAGAAAGTACATAGCTGTTCCAGAAAACAGAAACTGAAAATTTCATGAACCAAAAGCAGAGTAATATACTTTAGAAAGGAAGCAGGCTGGAAAACCCACAGTTGCAAAGCAAATGGAATTTCCAACTGCCTCTTGTAGCCCCTTCCTTGAAGTAGTCATAGCTCAGGGTGTTTGACTTCTTCCTCTGTTTTTTGTTTGTTTGTTGTTTGCTTTTCTGTGGGGTTTTTGTTGTTGTTGTTTGCTTTTTTTAAAAAAAATTCCCTTTCACTGCTTTTTTGTCACAGCAGCCTTTGTCGCTTCAAACACCGCAAGTGTTCTTTTAAAAGAATTATATCAACCTTTCAAGTGAAATGCAACATGTCTGAAACGTGGTATCTGGAGAGGTGAGATGGACAAAGGAGCCCTTGTTACTGCACGTTTTCATTCTCCAAACTTCACCTTGCACACAGTAACAGACAATGCACAAATCCACTTCCTTATGGACAGAAATTCTGAAATCCTTTTATGCCTGGCCTTTCCATCCTTCAACTTCCCCTTTCCCATGCTGTGAATGATTGTATTGGACATTTTTGTTTTAATCTCAGTGACAGGGGAACACAGGTAGCTCTAATATAGCTGTGACTGAGATGCTTCTGTTTCTAGCGTGTATTTATTTTGCAGCAAACATTTACATCCATGATTTTTCACTGTCTTTTGAAAATAATTAAGCAATATCTCATCTGAGGTAGAATGTTTCTAGTGGTTGTGTTCTGAGGGAGAAAAACTAATCTTTTCTCTTTCCACTGCATTCTAGGAACAGTAAGAGGACCTTGTGAGTGAATAATTTGTTTCCACATTACAGAGTGGGTAATAAGCAGATTAGTAAAAACAATTCTGCTTCACTTCAATAACAGCCTCCTCCAACTCATTTTTTCTCAACAAACTTATTTTTCCAGCAGAAGAATCCCAGACTTCTTAGAGAACCCAGTGACTTTTTGCACCTTAAATCTGTGAAATCCTCATGTTTTCTTCTGCTGTATCTATAGTTCAAACAAAGATGAGGCAAAACTAGACGCATTCCTGAAGGAACCCAAGAAATTCCTCTTTCTGTCTCGGAATGAAATGAATTCTCCAGACCACTAGTTCTAACCTTCAAAAACCAAACCTGTTTGTGAGATCTCCTTCAAATACTACTGTAGACCCTAGTATTTATTCATTAAATTTTTAAAATATTTGTTTTATTTGGAATCAAAGTATTTGTAATTTTAGTATTTGTATTAATATAAGGGAGAAATGTTTAAATCTGCCTATGCCATATGTGCCTCTGGCTTATTGCCCAATTAATTGTAGTCTCAGGCTAAACTTTCGTTTCTGTCTTCAATTTTTGTCAGAAGAAATATAACTGATCTCAAAACATCTGCTTTTATGTAGGGACTTGTGCTGCCATCTCCATTCCTCTCTCTCTTTTTGCAATCTGGGTGGAAGTTCTTTAATATGAACATTTCAACCAGCTTCATTCTACCACATCCACTATGAGCACATTCAAACGTATCCAGCCAAGACTGTCATCTTAGGCCAGGGATCTTTTAGGAATCTATTTTGCTGTGATGTGGCTGGCACCCCTTTGATTCACTGTATCACCCCAGGGTTCTTTTCATTTTATAAGCCCAAGAGGGCAGAAAATGAAGTAGATGAGCAATTAAACACTGTGAGTCAGGAGCGTCTCCCCTTGTGTTAGGCAATGTTGTAGAACATCGTATTTAGTAAGCTCCTAGCAGATGAGCCATGTGGCTTCTGAGCACACATGCTTGCTTGCTGCTGTGAGGTCAGACACCATCATGTCTTTTCCATCTCTGGAGGGAATTGTAAGGGCCACTTAATAACCTGTAAATCAGAGAGATAAAGGTGCTTCCCCAAAACACTGATGACAGAATGAAAGGTGAGGAGTGTTAGCCACAGGTCAAAAGTACAGGAAAGTCTCTCAGTGTGGGTTGTTGAAGAAATGCAGGTCTTTTTTCTTTTGGAAGTCTCCCTAGAATGGGGTCAAGGACTCTGCCCATTCTAGGATGAAAAATTGGGATATTAGACACCTTCAGATATTTATCCCCAGCTTTCATTTTGGGCTCTTAATTAGTTTGTTCATCCATCACAATCTCAAATGCTAAGCAGGGCATTTGAATCTCTCCACAGTGCAAATCAGCGCCGTCTTTTAAAGTTGAGTTTATTCTTATTCTCACCTGATATACCTTATTTATCCCACACCCACCCCAATAACATATCGTGCTCACTGTTATCTTTGAGGCAACCCTTGAATTTTACTCAGCCTGGAGCGCTCTTCACATGTCTTGTCCAGAGCCAGTTCGGACTCATTCTTCAGCCGTGCATCAGTCAGTGGGGGCTAGCTTAAACTGTGGTGACAAACAACCTTCAAATTTCAGTGGCTCAAAAATCTTCTTCCTCATTTATTTACATCTCATGACTGGTCAGGTGAGAGGTAGCTCTGTGCTGTGTCATCCTAACACAGGAATCCAGAAGGAAGGAGGGACTGTCAATAAGATCCCCATTGCTATAGAAAAGAGAAAAAAGCATGTGGAATAGAACGCTGTTTCTTGGAGATTTCTCCTGAAAAAGTCACATGTTATTTCTTCTCACCTCCATTGGCAAAAAAAAAAAAAAAAAAAAAAAAAAAAAAGTCATGTGGCCATGGGAAAATTTAAGTAGGTGGGATGGAACAGTCAGAATGCATTCATAAAAAATGAACTGAAAATATTTGGAGAACAACACCAATGACTATCATGAATGCCAACATACATCCCTAACAACCCAGTGCTGTTACCCTCCAAACTTTTTATGTCTTGCAAAGTATTAGAACTTCATATCTGAAGCCATACCACTCAGAGGGAATGCAATACATATTGACATCTCCTTTAGGATGTCCATAGAGAATTCAAGAAAAGAAATAATTTAAAAGTGCTTTTGGGTACAGCTATTTAGCACTAGAGGGTAAGAGTAGAGATAGATTGTAAAGATAATAATAGGGTTAGGCATAGGATTAGGATCTGGGTCAGAGTCAGGGCCGGAAGTATGGTTAGAGGTGGGGTCATGGTCAGGGTCAAGATCAAAGTCAGGGTTAAAGTAAGGGTCAGAATTAAGGACCAGGGTAGGGATCAGGATTTAGGTTCAGGCTCAAAGTCTTGGGACAGGGTTAGGGTTAGGATTAGAACCAGAGCTTTGTTCTCAGGACCCACCCGAGGATGGGTCACCATGGCTTTGGAGCACCTGGTAGTGTGGCATGTCCACAGTGAAGACCAGAGTTTCGTTGTCCTTAAGACTGACCTGGGAGACGTGGCTGCAGGCCATTGAGGAAGGTGAGGCAAATCTTCCTGTCTGCTCCCCGTGTGCTGAGGAGGGAGCTCTGCCATGGGCTTTACTTTCACACGTTATATTCTACAAGTCTTGTTTTACAAAAGCATCCCTTCCTTGAGGCTTCGGCTGCTCATCACTGCTCATCATCATAGCGTGCCATAACATATAGTAAGGTTTGGGTTTGTTTCTGGGAGAGATCTTGGCATAGAGAAAGGAGAAATGCTTAGAGCCACCATCAAGACAGTTGGGATGAAAGCTGGGGATAGGCAGAGGCTGGAGGAAACATGTGCACCCCTTGTAAACACTTATTCATGTTTTAGTTATTCACTTAAAGTGTTAAATTAGTAAAAATAGTATTGAAAAATTGAAAAGTAGGCATATTAAAACTTGTAACAATATTTAAGCTTAGATATATTATTTGTACCTCATCAACATTTTTTATTTTGTTGAGAAAGTGTAAGGTTAATTGGCAGCATATTTCTAATAGTAGATAGAATAATGTCTGTTTTATAAACATTGACATCCTACATTACATGTGTGAACCCTGAAAATCTGAGACAGCTCTCAGATTTTTTAGAAAGTTTATTTTGCCAATCTTGAGGATGTGCACCCGTGATGCCTCCCCAGGAGGTCCTGACAACATGGGCCCAAGGTGGTAGGGGCACAGCTTGGTTTTATACACTTTAGGGAGACATGAGACATCAATCAATACGTGTAAGATGTACATTGGTTCAGTCCAGAAAGGTGAGAAGGCCAGACAGGGGGCTTCCAGGTCATAGGTAGGTAAGAGACAAATGGTTTCATTCTTTTGCATTGCTGATTACCCTCTCCAAATGAGGCAATCAGGTATGCATTTATCTCGGTGAGCAGATGGGTGACTTTGGATACAATGGGAGGCGGGTTTGCCCTAAGCAGTTCCCAGCTTGACTTTTCCCTTTAGCTTAGTGATTTTGGGTCCCCAAGATTTATTTTCCCTTCATAAGGTTTTCCTATGAGCATTAATTATTCATTGTGTATTTTATCACACAAATAAGGCACAGATTTTTAAAAAATCATCAACTTCCTGGCTACCTATATAGACATAATTACATAGAAGCTCAACTAAATTTGCAAACATTCCAGAGTTTGGGTTTCCAATAATTCTTTGTGATTCTTTAAAAGGTAAAGTATTTTTTCCCATAAAACATAGCAACATTTAAAATCACCCGTAGAATGTCCTGCCATTTTTGTTTCTGTAGTTTCCTCATTTTCTGCAAAGCCTTGCTGAGGAAATTGACTTTGAATATCCTTTTACACTCTTCTGTTTTAGAAAGCATTGTGGTAAAACATTGAATCATCATGGTCATAAGTTCTGTTCACATTCTTTCTTGCTTTGAATATTTTTTCCCAGTGGCCAATATTTGATTCTGTTTTATCATGGCTAAAAGGTAGGCATGGCAACAAAATAAAGACAGGAAGTCTTTGGAATAAGTGATCCCATCACAATGAATCAATTTGCCATTGGAACATATTTTTACAAAGTCACTCTTTTGAAAATATTTAGCTATGAATTAAAACAAAGTCTGTATGGTTAATATTTTTCCTGGTCTAAGGTGAACAGCATTTTAGAGAATGAACTCAGGACACAACCACTGCACAAGAAAAACGTGATAATTAAGTTTACACATATGTGTTACTACTGCAACAGAAAACATGTAAAGAACATTTGATTTATGTATCAGTCTGCACTGTTTAATTTTTTGTGTCATAAATACTCTTATTTAAAAAAACAGGACTAGTTAACAGTGTCAATTACTAGTAATTCATGGTATAAATAATTAAACAAGGAAGTGTTCAAAAAAAACAGTGTTTTAAATAAAGTTTTATTTTACATCATCTTTTTTACTTACACAGAAATTGTCAAAAAAAAGCAGAGATTTCCCATGTAGCCGCAACCTAGTTTCCTCTCTTATTAACATCTTCTATCAGTGTGTCTCACATGGCTTATTAATATCTTACATAATTTGTCACAGTTAATGAACCAATACTGATAGACTATTATTAACCGAAGTTCATATTTCATTTGGATTCCCTTAGTTCTATCTTACTCTGACCCAGGATCCCATCCAGGATCCCGCATGACATGTAGACATCACGTGGGCTCTTCCTGGCTGTGACAGTGTGTCAGGCTTTCCATCTCATGATGACCTTCATAGCACTGAGGAGGATTGGTCAGGAATGTTGTAGAATGTCCCCCATTGTCACTTCATGTTCTCAAGTTGAACTGTCACCTTTGATGTTCACTTGGATCATTTGGCAGAGCTAATGTTTGTCAGGTTTCTCCACTGTGAGGCTATTTCTCCTCCTTGTCCGTACTGCATGTGTTCTTTTGGAGCAAGTCACTATGCAGAGCCTCACTCCGTAAGGAGTTGGCTCCACCTTCTTGACGGCTGAGTGTCTACATCAATTATTTGGAATTCTTTTGCAAAGGAGATTTCTATGCAACTCCATTTGCTTATTCACCGAGGTATACAAATACAGACACCTAGATAATTACTTTAAGCTTTAGTTATTATTCAACTCTACAGTATTATGTTGCACAATTCATTCCTGTGTTGGCCATCAGTAGCTGTTTTTATTGGCTTTTATTTTTCTTTGATATGTTTTAATTTTTTTAGTACTTACTTTCTGATACTTCCAGATTATCCTGGTTCCTATATTTACTGTCCCAGTTCTAGTATCAGACATTTCTTCAAAGAGCCTGATTCCTTTCAGAATGGTAGGAAAACTTACATCTGGCTGCTGAATGAGCACATTGTATCTTCTCCCTCATTGGCAATGCTAGGAAGTATATGTGTGTGTCTAACCTACCTATACACACCTAATTATAAAGTTTTCTATGTAGAACTGTGTGTGTCTATATTAAACTAAACATAAGTTTACGTTGATGTCTCCACCTCTGATCTACTATCACATGAATCATTCTAGCCTTCTCGCCTTGCTAATTTGTAACCTCCCACTTCAACAGTAAGAAACCTGGTTCCCACCATCTGCGACTTATGTAAGTCATTGTTTTATTCCAGATACAGACACTGTGGTTTTACAATTGTTCACAATTGCTTCTTTTGGAAAGAACTTTATAAAATGGAATCCAATAATGAAGTATAGTTCATGTGCCTTCAGCCTACAGATTCTATTCATTTTCAAAGTTTTTACCTAGATTTGTGTCTTAGTCCATTTTGTGCTTCTGTAACAGAATACCTGAGGCTGCGCAATTTATAAGTAAAAAAGTTTCATTTGGTTCACAATACTGGTGGCTGGAATGTCTGAGATTGGGCAGTTGCATCTGGCAGGGCCTCAGTCTTTTTCACCTCATGGTGGAAAGTGGAAGGGGAGCAAGGGGTGCACCAGAGATCACATAGCAGAAGTGAAAGCAAGAGGGAAGCCAAGGAAGCCAGACTCTTTTTAATTACTTACTCCTGCAGGAATTATCTATTCCTGTGAGAACAGAACTCACTCACCCCCATGGAGGACATTAATCTATTCATGAGGGATCCGTCCCCATGATCCAAACACCGTCCACTAGGCCCCACCGCCCCACACTGACCCAGTGGGAGTCAAATTTCAACATGAGTTTTTGTGGGGACAAACCACATCCAAACCATAGTAATTTGTAGCATAAATTCTTTTTCACATGATGTATTCTGTCCTGGGATACTCCACATCCTGAGTAATTTGATTTAATTTGAATAGAGTTTGCTTTAACCATTTGGCTGTAAAATTCTGCATATTTCGACAAATGTATTGTGGCAGATAACCCACTATTAAAGTATCAAATGGAATGCCTCAAACCCCCACCCCATGGAGCCAATGGCTTCCCATCTGTGTAGTTTGCCTTCTCCAGTGTCTCATTAAATGAGGTCACACTGTGTGTATCCTCCTCAGACTGTCTTCTTCCACTTAGCAATGTGCATGCAAGATTCACTCATGTCTTTGTGTGTGTTGATATCTTGTTCCTTTCTATGGCTAAATAGTATTCCATTACATGAATGTAGCACAATTTGGTTATGCATTTTGGGGAGCAGAACCTTCCTCTTCTAACTTTGTTCCAGGGTTGGAGACCTTCAAATTAACTGACAATAGATACATTAGTAGGAGAGACAATACTTGGCTTCTTGTTCCCCAAGTATCATTGTGGGACAAAATTCATCAGATGGCAGGATCCAGTTTACAAAGAGGTAAAAATAGCCCAGAAACAAGAAACAAGACTAGAATCTGATAACTCACAATGGCTATAGTTTTCCTTTAAAAAAATTTTTTTTGAGACAGGGTCTGGCTCTGTCACCCAGGCTGGAGTGCAAAGGTGCAATCTCAGCTCACTGCAACCTCTACCTCCTGGGTGCAAACGATCCTCCCTCCTCAGCCTCCTGATTACCTGGGACTACAGGCACATGCCGTCATGCCCATCTAATTTTTGTATTTTTGGTAGAGACGGGGTTTCACCATGTCGCCCAGGCTGATGTTGAACTCCTGGCCTTCCAAAGGGCTGTAATTATAGGCATGTGCCACCATGCCCGGCTGTGTTATACTTTTCCTTTGAAAGATAAAATTTCTCTCTGTAGTAACCATCATTTTTTATCATAATCAAAGTAAGACTATTCTTGTTTTAAAAATAAGTCTAGTTTTGTTAGATTTTGCTTGATTATTTACGTAAGTGCAGCAAGAACAGGAGATGACCACGTAGGTGCTTTCAGGTTTCTTTGCTGGAAGTTTTCATACAGAATCTCAGACTTGACTTTTAAAGGCCTTATTCAGGCTAAAAGCCAAGCCAAGAGCATACTATCAAATTTCAGCTGCAGTCCTTATAGCTTTGTGTGAATTCCTCTCTTCTTGAGGCCCCAAAATATCCCTAAATTCCTGGGCCTACCAGGAAATGACCTTCCTTACTAACCTATAAGGCTGTGAACCCTGTAATCTAGGTATCAGGCTGGGTTTTCTCAGAGTGCTGTTGGGAATGAAGTTTTTTATGTTCCCCCCCCCAAAAAAAAGAACTAACATGGGAACAAATGATCTCTTAGCAAGGCGAGCTTTATTTTTCTGCACAAAGGGTGCTACTCAATAGCTGTCCAGCTACAAGAGCACACCAAACAAAGGAGACAGAGTTACTTATAACCTGACGTGTCTACCCTACTGCTGTGTCCAGTTTCCATTGGCTGGAATAGGACCTCCCATTTTACACTTTACCCGATTGGCTGTTAGTTTAAAACTTTCTTAATTAGGTAAGGGGAATAGAAGAAGGAAAGAAAAGGAAGTTGCCCAGGGATAGTTAAGGAAGCATCTCCAAATAAGGAATGGCATGCACTATGGGCTGGGGCTTGTCTAGTTCTGTCCAGGCATGCTGGAGCAAGCTAGGACAAGTGATTTGGAACACACACACACACACACATATAAAAATAGTGGGTAGTTGTGACTTTATAATCTTTAAGGAAGAACTTTCCTCAAAGTTTTCCACAGTGCTTTGTAAGCATTGTCTCCATAAAAGTCAACCTTACTTCCTTAAAATTGCTGGTCATAACTGATCTTAGGTACACTTCCTAAATATGATATTCCAGTAAAAACCTTGATAATATAACCAAAATTTCCAATTATGTCCTGTTATAAGGTGAATAGATTCTTACTGGACTTTTGCTAACAACAATATCATCGTGGAAATAAGAGTATTCAGTAAGGATTTCAAAATTCTGGAAAAATCAGCCAAGAAAAAAAGATAAACGCTTCATTTCTGTTTACAAAAGTATAATCTACTAAATTGTTGTAAGTTACAGTTAGAGTAAGAGAAAGAGATTTCTTAAATCCAGAAACTAGAATATTAACCAGCAATGCTCCAAAAAGCTATACAATTATAATCAATTTTCATCAGTTCATTCAGTGCCATGTAATCAATTCCAGTCTTGTGGATCTTGAGTTAGCAGTGTCATGAACCCATCAGTTTCCCAACCAGACTTCTGGAGACCTTAACTGAGTCAAGTGTATGGTCTTAAAGTTATTTAAGCAATATCATCAGAAGCCTATAACCAGAGTACCTGTCATAGTCTTTTCTGTGAGTCTCAGAGGGAGTCCTGTCTTGGAGACGAACATTCTGACCTGTAGTTGATTGCAGGAGCTTTCAGGAAAGCATCAGGGGGAAATAATATCTAAATGACAAAAAGTATGAAATGGCTGTGATGAAAGATCTGATGAGAGTTCATTATACCACAACTGACAAGGATATTCTATTTTTTCTGTGGCAGACAACATTTATTTATTTATTTATTCAGAGACAGAGTCTTGCTCTGTCGCCCAGGCTGGAGTGCAGCGGTGCGATCTCGGCTCACTGCAAGCTCTGTCTCCTGGGTTCACGCCATTCTCCTGCCTCAGCCTCCCGAGTAGCTGGGACTACAGGTGCCTGCCATCACGCCCAGCTAATTTTTTATATTTTTAATAGAGATGGAGATTCACCGGGTTAGCCAGGATGGTCTGGATCTCCTGACCTTGTGATCCACCCGCCTCAGCCTCCTAAAGTGCTGGGATTATAGGCATGAGCCACTGTGCCTGGCACAACATTTAAAGTAATAATTGGAATTATGACTCATTACTCTATAGTGGCACATAGCATGGATAAGGAGGACATTGACAAACTTCCAGGAATTTTATATAATTTCTGAAAACATAACATTTTACCCATACAAATATAACACAGGGAAGGTTAGGTATCTCTTTTTATTTGTATCTTCTGTATGGTTTTCCTTATAAAAAATGCAACCTACTTTACTTGCGAAACATGCCCTACTTTTCTTGCATGCTTTGCATAGAGTTGTTTCTAGTTATTCTATTATTTCTAGTAGTTTTATTTACATATATTGATTATAATTTTAATACTTAGTAATCTTTTATTTTCCAGAGAAAACTAGGAAGTAGACAGTTATAAACTGTCATATATTAGCATTCTATAGTAGGTTAGAAAATGTATGAATATACCATCTCCCAACATCTAGAGGGATGTGTTTCCTCATAATACAATTCCTCAGTGTGGCAGAAAAAAACATGTTTATTAACGGGCCAAAATATCTTTAGTCTCTCTGTAAAAACAGGAAGCCAAAAGTATATAAACTTGAATTATTTATGTTCAGTAATTAATGTTTTAGTATTGTATCTTATTTATAAATGGTCTAGATATTTAATGCAGATCTTTTACTTAGCTTAACTTTAAGGTTAAAAATTACCAAAAGTACTTTGGAAACTATTCTTAGGCAGATTTACTGTAAACAAATTATTTTTGAAATAATGTTTTTCGCTTTTCACAAGACGGCACCGAAAGCGAAGGAAGCTCCTGCTCCTCCTAAAGCCGAAGCCAAAGTGAAGGTTTTAAAGGCCAAGAAGGCAGTGTTGAAAGGTGTCCGCAGCCACACGCAAAAAAGAAGATCCGCATGTCACCCACCTTCAGGCGGCCCAAGACACTGCGACTCCGGAGGCAGCCCAGATATCCTCGGAAGAGCACCCCCAGGAGAAACAAGCTTGGCCACTATGCTATCATCAAGTTTCCGCTGACCACTGAGTCGGCCGGAAGAAGATAGAAGAAAACAACACGCTTGTGTTCACTGTGGATGTTAAAGCCAACAAGCACCAGATCAGACAGGCTGTGAAGAAGCTCTATGACAGTGATGTGGCCAAGGTCACCACCCTGATTTGTCCTGATAAAGAGAACAAGGCATATGTTCGACTTGCTCCTGATTATGATGCTTTCGATGTTGTAACAAAATTGGGATCATCTAAACTGAGTCCAGCTGGCTAACTCTAAATATATGTGTATTTTTTCAGCATAAAAAAATAATGTTTTTCATAAGAATGACAACTTAATTAGAATCAAATCTATAAGCTTTAAGATTTTACATTTCTAGTAAGTATAATATTAGCTTATTTGACTAGAACTCAAGCAGAATAGGAATTTATGCTTGTTTTATATTCAATAATGATAATTTTGAAGATATAGTTGTTTTATTACACCAAAAATACTATATTAATCTTATTTAACTAAGTTTTATCCAAATCATGTTAACTTAAGAAACATTTGATCAGTTCCTATATTTCTAGGAGTTTGGTGAATATTTATTTATAAATGCTTATTTTTTTCCAAGCCAAGTTAGAATAGAGCACTTTTAGAGGATTTCATAAATGAATTTTGCAATGCTCTCTGGAGTTAAGAAAATATCACATATACATAACATACATTAATAGATATACAAACACAAATAGAGATTTCATAGCTTTCATCCTGAAATTTCAGCCATGAATCAGGCATAAATATTCTGATGGTTAATTTCAGACATCTACTTGATCCGATTGAGAGACACACATAGCTGGTCAAACACGATTTCAGCCATGAATCAGGCATAAATATTCTGATGGTTAATTGTAGACATCTACTTGACTGGATTAAGAGACACACATAGCTGGTCAAACAAGATTTCAGCCATGAATCAGGCATAAATATTCTGATGGTTAATTGTAGACATCTACTTGACTGGATTAAGAGACACACATAGCTGGTCTAACACGATTTCAGCCATGAATCAGGCATAAATATTCTGATGGTTAACTTTAGGCATCTACTTGATTGGATTGAGAGACACACATAGCTGGTCAAACACGATTTCAGCCATGAATCAGCATAAATATTCTGATGGTTAATTGTAGACATCTACTTGACTGGATTGAGAGACACACATAGCTGGCCAAACACGATTTCAGCCATGAATCAGGCATAAATATTCTGATGGTTAATTTTAGACATCTACTTGACTGGATTAAGGGACACACACAGCTGGTCAAACACAATTTCAGCCATGAATCAGGCATAAATATTCTGACAGTTAATTTTAGACATCTACTTGACTGGATTAAGAGACACACATAGCTGGTCAAACATGATTTCAGCCGTGAAGCAGGCATAAATATTCTGATGGTTAATTGTAGACATCTACTTGACTGGATTGAGAGACACACATAGCTGGTCAAACACAATTTCAGCCATGAATCAGGCGTAAATATTCTGATGGTTAATTGTAGACATCTACTTGAGTGGATTGAGAGACACACATAGCTGGTCAAACACGATTTCAGCCATGAATCAGGCATAAATATTCTGATGGTTAATTTTAGACATGTACTTGACTGGATTAAGAGACACACATAGCTGGTCAAACACGATTTCAGCCATGAAGCAGGCATAAATATTCTGATGGTTAATTGTAGACATCTACTTGACTGGATTAAGAGACACACATAGCTGGTCAAACACGATTTCAGCCATGAATCAGGCATAAATATTCTGATGGTTAACTTTAGGCATCTACTTGATTGGATTGAGAGACACACATAGCTGATCAAACACAATTTCAGCCATGAATCAGGCATAAATATTCTGACGGTTAATTTTAGACATCTACTTGACTGGATTAAGGGACACACACAGCTGGTCAAACAATTTCAGCCATGAATCAGGCATAAATATTCTGACAGTTAATTTTAGACATCTACTTGAGTGGATTAAGAGACACACATAGCTGGTCAAACACGATTTCTGGGCATATCTATGAGGGTGTTTCTGGAAGACACTGAGATAACCATGACCCAATGTGGATGGGCACTGATATGGTTTGGCTGTGTCCCCACCCAGATCTCATCTTGAATTGTAGTTCCTGTAATACCTACATGTCGTGGGAGGGACCCAGTGGGAGGTGACTGAATCATGGTGGTGGTTACCGCCATGCTGTTCTCATGACAGTGAGTGAGTTCTCATGATCTGATGGTTTTATAAGGGGCTTTTCCCCTTTGGCTCAGCACTTCTTGTTGCTACCATGTGAAGAGGGATAGCTTTGCTTCCCCTTCTGCCATGATTGTGAGGCCCCTGCAGCCATGTGGAACTGTCAGCCCATTAAACCCCTTTGTTCTTTATAAATTGCTCAGACTCAGGTATTTCTTCATAGCTGTATAAAAATGGATGAATACAGGCACCATCCAATTGGTTGAGAGCCCAGATAGAATAACAAGGAAGAGGAAAGGTGAATTATCTCCTTCTGAAATGGAAACATCCTTCTTCTCCTGCCCTTGACATCAGAACTTCAGGGTCTCAGACCTTTGGCCTCACAATCAGAGTTACACCATTGGCTTCCCTGATTCTGAGTCCTTTGTATCTGGAGTGAGCCATGCTACCAGCTTTCCTGGTTCTCCAACTTGGAGACAGGCTATTGTGGAAATTCTCAGCCTCCATAATTATGTGAACCAGTTCCCCTAATGAATCTTCTCTCATCTATCTACATATATCCTATTGATTCTGCCTTTATGGAGACCCCTGCCTAATGTGATTACAATAACTACAAAATTCACTACTTTATATAGAAGACTTGGTTTTTGTCTTTGCCCCATTTTATATTTGTATTATAACTATGTATCTGGAAAATGGAACAAGTTTTTTCTTCTTCATATGAGGGCTAAGGCTTTTTTCTCACCAATATTTTTGGAGATTTTAAAGATTTTCTTTTTTTTTTGACATAGAATCTTATGGAGGCTGAGAAATAATTTTTTTTCTATTTTATTCTTCAGCCCCAGGTGTTTGCTTTTGCAGATTCTTGAGCACATTGAGAGCCTCCAAGGCATGGAGTGGGGTGCCTGAAGTTTCAGTGATTATAGGGAGTTGAGAGACTCAACTGGGAAAGGAAAGGTCTAAAAGGAGGCAATTTGGAAAATAAAAATTTTCTCAAAGGAGCCATTAAAGTTGTAAATAATTCTTAGTAAAGTCATGCAAACAGGAAAAGAAGTAGAATTAGTTCCATATTGGTGGAACACATAGTCAGCAGAGGTTGGAGAAGGGAGAATTTAGTGAACTGAGAAGTTCCCATGAAAGCAGCAAGATCAAGATCACAGAGACACCTTGAAACAAAAAGCCAGGAATAACTTCCAACCCAAGAGGAGAACAGAGAGGCCTCAAAACCAAAGCTAGGATAAGAAACTTGTAGCCCAAGAGTTATCTTCCAGACAAAGAAGCCTGAGATTCCAACGCAGCTTCAGAGAGTACTCACTCAAAATGTTACTGAAACTGTAGGCTTTTTAATGACTTAGCCATGCCTGCAAAAGGCATTCCCTAAGGTGGCACAGAAGACGGAGCCCCCATATCCAAAGATAGCCAAGGAGAAAGAAAGACCCCTGTTGCCAGAGCCAGTGGGAAAAGGTAACAGAAAAGGAGACAAGGGTCCTAATGGGATGAGATCCTTTCGGATTTAGGCTTATACAAACTCCTGAGAACTGGCAGGTTGACAGCCATAATTGGGGTACCAAACTTTCTACTCATTGGATTACAAGTTCTCAGGCATCCAGAATGATTAACAAAATGATAATTTCTAGGGCTTCTGTGGGAGAGTATGGAAAGGTCTTTTTGAACCTTTTAATGCTGTCAACGGAAGAATGATGAGGTTCATAAATTTGGAAAGGAGACATTTCTTCATTTTTATGCTTATTTTTATTCTTTTTTGAGACAGAGTTTCACTCTTGTTGCCCAGGCTGGAGTGCAATGGTATGATCTTGGTTCACTGCAACCTCCACCTCCTGGGTTGAAGCGATTCTCCTGCCTCAGCCTCCTGATTAGCTGGGATTACAGATGCCCACCACCACACCTGGCTAATTTTTTGCAGTTTTGGTAGAGACAGGGTTTCATCATGTTGGCCAGGCTGGTCTGAAACTCCTCACCTCAGGTGATCCACCCACCTCGGCCTCCCAAAGTGCTGGGATTACAGGCATGAGCCACCCACCCAGTGAGAGATTTATTTTCTATAAAGGGTTGTAGCCTGCAGGGTTGTCCTTCTGACAGGCTGGGAAGCATAGCCTCCAGCCAGAAGCCAGAAACAGATGCTTCAAGGAGGAGGTAAAGGAAATAGCAATTTATGCTGAGTGGAATGGCCAAATAGATTTATTTAATAAGCTCTAGGAGGAGTCATGAATATTTATGGAAGGAGAAATGCATGCACGCACAATTGAGTTTCTTGCTTCTTCATGGGTCCCATGTACAAAAAATGGCAGTGTTAGCATGATCCCAGGGTGGAGTTTTCAGCCCTCTGACATTAAAAGGTGAAGCAGAGGAAATGAAAACTCGCTCTGTGCATCCTCTGTACGCTGGCCAGAACCTCTCCATCGTGGGTGGTCTCTTATCAGGCAAGAAAGGAGAGGTTGATATCAGTGGTGGAGGCTTTGAAAGGGCTGGTTTCTGTTAAATCCTTAGGGAAGAAAGCCTCATCATGGTTAGCAAAGGAGGGGGTATAACGATGTGTATCTTAACCCCATCATCGCATCCTAGCAAAGCTGAGAACTCAGTTTTGAAAGTTACTCTGGGGTCCCCTCAGCCAAGAGTGGGTCTGTTCAGTCAGTTGGGAGCTTAGAATTTAATTTTCATTTATCAATGCTAATGCGAAAGAGTACGCTGTCTTCATGGCAGCTGAATTTGCAAGAAACTCCTTGGATGGGGTTAATGGCAGCTGTATTTTACTGGGAGCTCTGCTTTAATTGGATAAAGTAAGTTCTGGTAAGATTTCTTCATCTTCAGTATCTCAAATGTTTTCATTTAAATAATCTTTATAACAACTTTTGATGTCTGAGTGGAGTCCCACACAGTCATCTATTGTAAGACTTTCTGATTCCTTTTTTTTCCTTTGGTCATTATGAATAGGGCTTCTGTAAATAACTGCATGGTAGCTTTTGATGGGAAATAACATCAAAGTAGTTGTCAAAATACTTAGGAATGTTATTTTTGGATTGTAAGGTGAGACTTGTTTAGCTTTGGAAAAAAATGCCCAACTTGTAATAGGGGAGGAAAAATAATTTTCTGTTTTTGGAATTCTTAGATGGAACGCTCTGTAAAAACTGACAGATTAAAATGAGAAAAACAGAAAAGTTTAAAAACATGTATATCTTATGGTTACATGGGATATACTCAGGGAAAAATGAGTAAATCTCCAACAGGTGGCTTTCAATTCAAGCATAAATACTATCTTCAACTTAAAGAAAGAAGATTTGAGGTGCAGTAGTGGGAAGTTAACCAGCAAAAGCACATTAGACAGGGGTAAGGTTCGTTATACAGAGTTAAGTCCATGCATTCTCCATTGATAAGACTCTTCAGTGATTTAGTTATCCTTCTCTTCTTGGTGTCGAGAGAGGTAGCTTTTAAATGGTGATTTCCTTTATAGGTGTAAATTTTCCTTACACAAGTAACTTTTACTCTGTTTTCACAACTTCCTTTGTTAGCATTTTTTTTTTCAAAATAATTAGCTTGGAATAATTTTTAAGCCAAAGGGACATATTTTGGGGTTGCATATTCTGGTTTCCTACCATTATATTTTGGGGTGGCATAGTTTGGTCTTATACACTGTGTTCTACTGGCAATGAAAAGAGTTCTTGTTTTTCCTCCAGCAATTTGTCATTTGTTAAAGAGCTTAGCAGTTCTAAGAGATATAGACCAGCTGTGCTATCTTTTTGTGGTTTTCAGTTCTCTAGTATGTTAAGCATCTTTTTGTAGGTGTACTTGCCATCTGTAGATCTTCTTTGATGAGGCATCTGTTCAGATCTGTGTGCATTTTTAATTGGGCTGTTTAACTTATTGTTTAGTTTTAACAATTTTTTATATATTTTGAATACAAATTCTCAGATCTGTATTTTGCAAATATTTTCTTCAATATGTGGCTTGTCTTTTTGTTCTCTTAACAAGGTCTCTTCCAGAGTATAAACTGTAAATATTAAGAAATCCACATTGTCATTTCTTCTGTGTATATCAACCTTCTGTGTCATTTGTTAAAATTCATTACCAAACGCAAAGGCACATAGCTTTTCCTCTATAGTTTCTTCTAGAAATTGTATAGTTTTGCATTTTTAGTGTAATGATGATTTTGAGTGATTATTTGTGTAAGTTGTAAAGTTTTCGTCTACATGCATATCATTTCTTATGGTTTCCAATTAATCATTCCCTCACTATTTTTGGGAAAGACACAGGATAGTGGGCTCTGTTAGAGTAGATAGCTAGCTAGACATGAACAGGAGGGGGAGCTCCTGGAAAAGGGAAAGTCTGTGAAGGCTCACGTGGAGGGACCACCAAAAATGCATATATTAGTAGCATCTCTAGTGCTGGAGTGGATGGGCACTTGTCAATTGTGGTTAGGAGGGAGAAGAGGTACCTACGCAGAAACACCCTAGAACTTCTCTTGAGATGCCCCAATCATCATTCACTCTGCAATAAAAATGTCAGAATATTGCTAGCTACATGCTGATAAGAAGGAGAAAGGGGACATTCTTAAGAGAAACCTGGCACCATAAGTACAGATTAGGGCAGAGAAAGACATTCAAAAGAGGCAGCTGCAGTAGATACAAACGTGACCGCTGTCAGCCTGCCTGGTATGGCAGGAAGGAGGCTGGTGCCAGAGTGGATTCGGGTTGATCACCACACATGTACCTCAATCAACAGTGAGGAGGTCCCACAAGGCTAAGTGGGGCAAGTCGGGGACCTAAGGCAGTAGCAGGAAAACCAAAGAAAACAGGCGGAGACTTGAGACAGAGGCAGGAATGTGAAGAAGTCCAAAATAAAAATCCCTGCACAGGACTCTTAGGCTGTTATCATGCACTATCAGCCTACTCCTCCCTATTTTTGTACAATAAGCTCTTTACACTGTATTTCTTTTCAATGAAGTTATCTTCCATCTTTGTACTGCCTCTTGGTGAAAAGCTGTCTTCCAAGTTAATAACTGGGACATCAGCTCTCCGCAGTAATAGCTCCTTTTCAGTTTTAATTTGGAGAACTGATGGGGATTAATAACTGGCGCTCTGACTTTAAGTGGTGCAGGAGGCGGCCAGTAGGGGACGCCAGCCGTTACGCCGGGAGCAAGAGGGCCCTGCGTAGTCCCCATCTGCCTGCATGTGGCGTGCAGCCACGACAATGGCAGCAAGAGGGTCCGGCAGTGTGCCCAGCTGCCAGCAGGCGGGTGTGCTGCCACTATAATGTGAGGAAGAGGGCCCTGCAATGTCCCTAGCTGCCAGCAGGCGGCGTGCCACCACTATACTGCGAGCAAGAGAGCCCTGCCGTGCCCTGGCGCCAGCACGGGGCGCTGGACACCACTGTAAGCAAGAGGGCCCTGCAGTTGTCCTAGTCGCCAGTAGCGGACGCAATGGCAGAGCACCGTGGGCAAGCTGGTCCTGTAGTGCCCGGCTGCAAGCAGGGGGCGCCCGAAACGGGCTTTTCAGATTACTCAGGTTCCACTCGTCTCTGCGCCGCCGGGGACGTGTGTCTCTGCGCGTGCACCGCGCCACCCCCGCGCTCCCCGCCCGGCGGCGCGCGACTGTGCGACTGCAACACTCCCCGCCACCCTCAGCCCAGCGACGTGCGTCTCTGCGCCTGCGCCGCGCCTCACTCCCGCCCGCCCAGCGACCCCTCCCCTCCGGGGAGGCGCCGGCGTGCGTCTACGCCCTGCTCCGCGTCTCCCCAACAGCGGCGCGCCTCTCTGCGCCTGCGCCGGCGCCCCGCGCCTCTCTGCGCCTGCGCCGGCGCCCCGCGCCTCTCTGCGCCTGCGCCGGCGCGCCGCCTTTGCGAGGGCGGAGTTGCGTTCTCTTTAGCACACACCCGGAGAGCATCGCGAGGGCGGAGCTGCGTTCTCCTCTGCACAGACTTCGGGGGTATTGCGAAGGCGGAGCAGAGTTCTTCTCAGGTCAGACCCGGGCGGGCGGGCTGAGGGCACTGCGAGGGCGGAGCTGCGTTCTGTTCAGCACAGACGTGGGGGGCACCGTAAAGGCGGAGCAGCATTCTTCTCAGCACAGACGTTGGGGGTACTGCCTGCCTTTGGGATAACTCGGGGCCGCATCGACGGTGAATAAAATCTTTCCCGTTTGCTGCCCTGAATAATCAAGGTCAGAGACCAGTTAGAACGGTTTAGTGTGGAAAGCGGGAAACGAAAAGCCTCTCTGAATCCTGCGCACCGAGATTCTCCCAAGGCAAGGCGAGGGGCTGTATTGCAGGGTTCAAGTGCAGCGTCGGAACTCAAATGCAGCATTCCTAATGCACACATGACACCCTAAATATAACAGGCATATTACTCATGGAGGGTTAGGGTTCAGGTTCGGGTACGGGTTCAGGTTCGGGTTCGGGTTCGGGTTCCGGTTCGGGTTAGGGGTTAGGGTTGGGTTAGGGTTAGGGTTAGGGTTAGGGTTAGGGTTAGGGTTAGGGTTTAGGGTCAGGGTCAGGGTCAGGGTCAGGGTCAGGGTCAGGGTTAGGGGTTAGGGTCGGGGTCGGGGTCGGGGTCGGGGTCAGGGTCAGGGTCAGGGTGAGGGTGAGGGTGAGGGTGAGGGTCAGGGTGAGGGTGAGGGTGAGGGTGAGGGTTAGGGTGAGGGTTAGGGTTAGGGTTAGGGTGAGGGTTAGGGTTAGGGTGAGGGTTAGGGTTAGGGTGAGGGTTAGGGTTAGGG